>NC_000004.12:79224411-79375926 GCF_000001405.40 Homo sapiens
GGCAGCAACAGAGTTACGTAATTACGTGATGATTGAACCAAGGCAAACAAATAAGTACACTAAACATGATTCTATGATTCTACAAAAATGTAAGACAAAAAAAGCAACCAACCAGACAAACAATATAAACCTGACTTGGACTGGGGCCTTCTGAGAAGTATTTGCTGAGAAAGAGACAGGAACAGAGATCAGAGGGGTGATTTGGTGCTAATAATGTGAAAGTGGAGGCTGGAGAAGTGAGTGCTCCAGAGAGAGGGAGCAATATGTTATGAAGGGATTGTGGTGAGTCTGAGCAATGTATATGATAGAATTTTGAGAGATGAAGAATGGGACAAAATAATACTGGGATCAGATGAACAAGGTCAACGTCAACAGTGATCAATCATGTTGCTAGTATAGGATGAAAATGGCATTTTCCCACTGTAGTCTTTCTAAAAATTCACAGCCCTGGACTAATCATGCAAAAAATATCAGACAAATTGAAACTGAAAGATGGTTTACAAAAGATCCGACCAGTACTTCTCAAAATTGTCAAGATCATGAAAAACAAGAAACTTCTGAGCACTTGTCATAGTCAAGAGAAGCTTAAGAGATAGGACAACAAAATATATGGTGGTTTGCTGAGTGGGATCCTGGAATAGTGAGAGGACACTAGGAAAAAAAATAAGGAAATCAGAATATAAACTTTAGCTAATATTATATCAATATTAGTTTATTAATTGTAACAAATGTACCATACTAATGTAAGATATTAAAAATAGGGGAAACTCAATGTGGGGTAGATGGAAGCTATGTACTGTTTTTGCAATTTTCCTGTAAATATGAAACCATTAAAAAAATAAGTTTATTAAAAAGTATGCTAGAGGGGTGGTGGTTGGGGGCTGGACCTTGCAGGACCTCATAAACTGTTTTAAATTTTAGCGAAATACACTTACTTTAAGAGCTGTGATTTTTTTAAACGGATGGATTACATTTTACCTTACGTAAAGTGTCACTGTGGCTGAGGTGCCAAGCACTGAATGGCAAGTGTGGATGCAGGACATTCAGTTTTAAAGCTCTTTTAATATTCTTGGCAAGAGATGATGGTAACTTGAACAAGGATCAGGCAGTGGAGAGAGCATGGCGTAATCAGAGTTGGTATCAAGTTTGTGGGTAAAATTACAGCAGTGGTAATTTGACACCACTTAAAATTATGGGTTTAAGAGAAGAAGCAACACATTTAATCTTATGTCTGCCACTGAGCCAGGTCACATTTTCTGGCCTAGAGGACTTAGTGAGTTAAAAGGGAAGTCTTCTTTTCCTTTAAGTCTGGAGTCTTACTTTCTGCTCTTTGGTGAGTAGAAGTAGTTGGCTTTTCCAAATCTGCAGGGGAATAAGTTAATTGCTTCTAGTTAATACAGATTATAGGCTGCAGGCATAGGGGGATCTCCCGTTAAAAAGCTGCCGGCAAACTGGTCAATTGTCAATCCATCTCTGTCTTATAGCATCTTATAAAAATATCAAGCAACTGTCAACACACACATTCTGCCCTTTTCAATGGTTTGCCCCCATACTATAGATTCTGTGGAAAAGTTATATCCTTCCCAAGTTAGCTCATGTCAGTTTTATGGAATATTTTACCATAGCATCACCAGAGTTATCAGCTTTCCAAATTTCAAAATCTGCATGTGTAAGAGTGTGTGTGTGTGAGTGTGAGTGTGTGTTTTGCCACTAAATTCTTGAACACTAAGTGAATGCCACATATTTCAAGATGGGTAAGCAGCTCTGCTCCATGAGATCATTCATGGACCCAGGTTCTCCATCCTGTTGTTCCCCCATTCCTTAGGTTGTGCTGTCTCAGATCTTCATTGGCTTTTCATCTACAGAAGCAGAAAGAGAGAGAGTTGAGGTCAAGGACTTTCCTTTTAAGAAAATAGCATGAAAGTTGCACACATCTCTTCTGATCATCATGCGTCCAGAGCTAGCTGTAGGGAGGCTTTAGTGACCATATGCCCAGCTAAATCTTTTTCTTTTTAATATATATATTTTTTATTATACTTTAAGTTCTAGGGTACATGTGCACAACGTGCAGGTTTGTTACATATGCATACACGTGCCATGTTGGTGTGCTGCACCCATTAACTTGTCATTTACATTAGGTATATCTCCTAATGCTATCCCTCCCCCCTCCCCCCACCCCACAACAGGCACCAGTGGGTGATGTTCCCCTTCCTGTGTCCAGGTGTTCTCATTGTTCAATTCCCACCTATGAGTGAGAACATGTGGTGTTTGTTTTTTTGTCCTTGCAATAGTTTGCTGAGAATGTTGGTTTCCAGCTTCATCCATGTCCCTACAAAGGACATGAATTCATCCTTTTTTATGGCTGCATAGTATTCCATGGTGTATATGTGCCACATTTTCTTAATCCAGTCTATCATTGTTGGACATTTGGGTTGGTTCCAAGTCTTTGCTATTGTGAGTATTGCCGCAGTAAACATACGTATGCATGAGTCTTTATAGCAGCATGATTTATATTCTTTTGGGTATATACCCAGTAATGGGATGGCTGGGTCAAATGGTATTTCTAGTTCTAGATCCCTGAGGAATCGCCACACTGTCTTTCACAATGGTTGAACTAGTTTACAGTCCCACCAACAGTGTAAAAGTGTTCCTATTTCTCCACATCCTCTCCAGCACCTGTTGTTTCCTGACTTTTTAATGATCGCCATTCTGACTGGTGTGAGATGGTATCTCATTGTGGTTTTGATTTGCATTTCTCTGATGGCCAGTGATGACAAGCATTTTTTCATTTTACCATCAGAGTGAACAGGAAACCTACAGAATAGGAGAAAATTTTTGCAATCTACTCATCTGACAAAAGGCTAATATCCAGAATCTACAAAGAACTCAAACAAATTTACAAGCACAAAACGAACAACCCCATCAACAAGTGGGCAAAGGACATGAACAGACACTTCTCAAAAGAAGACATTTATGCAGCCAACAGACACATGAAAAAATGCTCATCATCACTGCCCAGCTAAATCTTGACTTCTATTGAAGAAGTGAAGGATGGATTTTGTAAGCCTACCAGCAGCCAAAGGAGACTAAGAGGAGTCATTCAGGAATATGAGGGTTATGAAGACAGTGGTGTCCCAGAAACCAAGGAGAAGAGGATGTTGCATGAAGAAGGAGATGATGGTTTCACTTTGGTTACATTTATCCAAATGCCCCGTCCAACTCTTCAGTGTCCCTAGTAAAATCTGGTATAGAGATGGACACTGTTTTTTAGGTGAGGCCTGCTGAGTGTGGAGAGTTGTGAAAAATTTTTCCCTTAAATTGAGAATGTTTTAAATAATGCAGCCTATGTTTTCTTTAAGTAACAAGGCCATCCCACTGACTCACACTGATCTTGTTCTCAGCAAAAAACTCCCTGCTCTTCCTCATATTAATTGCCATAAAAACAAGTCACTTCTATCATGCATTTGGCTCATTGAGTTATGAAAATATGTAGGTATTTCGTTTCTTTTTATGTAAATTTATGCTGGTTTTAGTCCATCATTTGAAGTCCAGAAGTCTTCTGGAACTTAACTGTGTCTGTATTAGTTGTCTTTTCCATCTTGTGGTTTATGGTAAAATTAATAAAAGGCCTTGCAAACCAGTAACAACAGCTGCCGTTTACTGTGTGCCTATTGCTCAATGCCTGTTGATAGAGTCCACTGGGGTGCTGGCTGGCTGCCCTCTCATTTAATTTTTGAACATTCTCATAAGGTCATTTTGTTTGTTTGTTTTCTGGCCTGAGTATTGTATTAATTACATAAAAGAAAACTTTGGGGAAATATTGTTAATTTTTGACAGGATTTTCCAACACTAATACTAGTACTGTTATTACAGCTACCATACAACTCTGACCACTAAAGAATTTTTGTTTTTAAGAATTTGGAAATTATTTTATTATGATATCATTTATGTACATTAAAATTCATTCTCATTGGTGCACAGTTCTATTTGTTTTGACAAGCTCACACAGTCATGTAACCATCACCACAATCAAAATATAGAACAGTTTTAATAACAATTTCTTTATGTTCTTTATAGTCATACCTTCCCTCACCCACTTTATGTCCCTAACATTTTGCCTTTTCCAAAAATGGAACATAAATTGAATTATATTGTATGTAGCTTTTTGTGTCTGGATTGTTTCATTCAGGGTAATGCATTAAGATTTGCCCATGTTTCTGTGTGCCTTAGTAGTCTATTCCTTTGCATTGCTGAGGAGTACCCATTGTATGGAGGTATCACAGGTGTTTTATCCACTATTTGGAGAATATTTGGTTTGTATTTAGTTTTGGACAGTTATGAATACAGTTTCTATAAACATTCATGTACCATTTTTTGTATAAACATCAGTTTTTATTTCTCTTAGGTAAATACTTACTAGTAGAATTACTGAATTATATGGTATGTATGTTTGTTCAAACATGTGAAAAACGACCAAACTGTTTTCCAAAGTAACCATTCTATTTTTCAGTCTCACAGCAAGTAGGAACATTCTAGTTACTTTATATGCTTACCAGTCTTTTGTCAAATATATGATTCACAAATATTTTCTCCCAGTCTATGGCTTTTCTTTTCACTTTATTAATAGTGTCTTTCGTAGTGCAGAAGTTTTTTTTACAAAGTCCAATATAGCAACATTTTCTTATATAAATTGCACTTTTGGTGTTATATGTAAGAAATCTTTGCCTAATCCATGATTACACTGATTTTCTCCTATTGTCTCTTTCTAGAAATTCTATACTTTTATATTTTACATTTTAATATATGATGCATTTTGGGTTTTTTTATATAGCAGGAGATATGAGTTGATATTCATCTTTTACATGTGAATATTCAGTTTTTCCAGTACTATTTCTTCAGAAGACTCTCCTTGTCAATTAAAATACCTCTGCTCTTTTGTCAAAAATAAATGAAGTTTATATAAGTGGGACTATTTCTGGACTGTCTGTTTGATCTATGTATCTATTTTGTAAAGTAGATTTTAATGTATGTATTATATAGATGAGAAAATTAGTTTCAAAGAGGTTAAGTAACCTGCTCAACATCATCTTAGATACACACGAGTTAAGATTAGTCAATGAATTCATAAAAATGTTTTTGAGTATTAGACCTACACTCACTTTCACTCTGCTTTTACTCACCACTGGATCCAGCTTTGAGGGTTTCAGTGATCCATTGGTCTGTATTTAATAATAATAATATCTAACATTTAGTAAATTTTTGCTATGTGCCTGGTATGATATTGAGTTCTTTGTGTGTGCCATATTGTTTAAGCATCACTTCACCTCTTTAGAGAGGCTACTATTATGCCTTGTCACAAGATAGAAGTGGGGCATAGAGATATTATATGACTGCCTTGAGGTCATGGGGCTTCTAAATAGGAGAGCTGAAATTTGAACTCAGGTCCTCCCACTTGCTCTTAACCATTATACTATTCTGCCAATGGAAAGTCTAACTGTGAAACAAATCAAGATGCTGCCACATTTATTGGTACCTAGTCTATATTTTCTATTGTATCTTTATGGATTTTTAAAAAGATTTTATTCTTTCGACAGTTTACTGAGAATGATGATTTCCAATTTCATCTATGTCCCTACAAAGGACATGAACTCATCATTTTTTATGGCTGCATAGTATTCCATGGTGTATATGTGCCACATTTTCTTAATCCAGTCTATCATTGTTGGACATTTGGGTTGGTTCCACAGTAAACTATCGCAAGAACAAAAAACCAAACACCGCATATTCTCACTCATAGGTGGGAATTGAACAATGAGAACACATGGACACAGGAAGGGGAATATCACACTCTGGGGACTGTTGTGGGGTGGGGGGAGAGGGGAGGGATAGCATTGGGAGATATACCTAATGCTAGATGACGAGTTAGTGGGTGCAGCACACCAGCATGGCACATGTATACATATGTAACTAACCTGCACATTGTGCACATGTACCCTAAAACTTAAAGTATAATAATAAATAAATAAATAAAAAGATTTTATATAAAGTCTTTTAGCATTGAATCTATGTCCACATTTATCTCCTAATTTTTGATTCCTACAAAAGAAACCTCACACAAGCACATAAATGCATAAGTACTATGAGAGTTGCTTATGAAAGATAGCTAAAAATGAGGTTGGTCTTTTTGTGAAGAAATTATCAGACAGATCAGAGTGTCATTTTGAAGTTCACAACAGAGACTGCTGCCCTGACATTGGCCTTGTTTGTTAGATTCATTTGCAGTAATAACTAAAGGAGTTTTTTTTGCTTTCTTATCTGTTGTTTAATATCAATTCTTCTGGTCCTGAATATTAAGGCCATGTGAGACGATACTCTTAACAGAGAAAGTGCTCAAGAACTTTGAGACTCATTTGGAACTGGAAAATTATTTAATAGCCCCAGATCCATAGTTCTACTCTCCCATTGGAATTAGCTATCCTAAAAAAACCTTCCTTGACTCCCAAAATTTTATTAGAGCCCCCTGTTCAATATTATCATAAGACCTTTACTTTCTTATCAACACTTTGCACATTTTGTTTATCTTCTTATTTAATGTGTATCTTCTCTAAAACACTTCATGAGAGTAGGAATGTATCTGTGTTGTCAGAGTTTAGTACAATGCCTATACATATTAAATGTTCCAGAAATGTGTTTCAACAGACAAACTGACATAGAGAGCAATTGGGGCCAGTAATTTAAATGGCTTCTTCAATACTTTTTCAAGAAAGACTAATTCTTGGAAACGGTTTGTTATTCTAGAAGAAAGAAACCTACTGGTTTGGCAGAGTGATAGTCTAATAAATAGGTAGAATTAGCAATTTTCCCCTGGTGAAACAATGAGGGAGAAGATTGGGAAGAGAGGAAACTGCTAGTGGAAGAGGTACTGGATTGGCCTTTAATTTCTTTACAATACTAAAAAGGATATTTCAGAGAAAGTTGTCCTCCCTAGTTACACTGGAAAACCTCAGAATTTTTTATCCTCTCACTTCAGAATCCTCACAACAAAATCCTGTGTCAATAGATTGCAAAACAGCATAGCTGGTAGCAGGGACACAGCCTTTTCCAAAAAGGTATTGGTCCTTTTTGAAACTGTGCCAACTTATACCTTGAAAAATTATATGAATCCCTAAAAGGAGTCCCACATTTTCTAGTGGAGGAGTCAGGTGGACCACAGCTGAAAGTATTAATCTTTTTAGCATAAAAAAGGGACAATTAGATAATATGTGCATCCTAATGAGATACAGTAGGGAGACAAAACATATAATTTATATGTTTTATTATTGTCAAAAATAATGAAACCTAAATGTGACCAAGCTTCTAGATCCACCACCAGTTTACAGGAAATACAAGGCAAAAAGGAACTTGTAATAACACCATGGGGATGCATTCGGCAAAAATCCTGAATATGGAACATTTTCTAGGACAAATCATTCATATATATATATGCATACACACATATATGTATATACACATATATATGAAATAATATATATGACATAATGAGATGTTTGACCAATACATGAATATTTAGTGACATTAAAAATTTATTAATTTTTAAGATTATGATAATGCTATTACAACTCTGTGTGCTTTCTAACAGATTTCTTATCTTTTGGATAAATGTTTTTGAAGAATTTATGGATGAAATGATATGATGTCTGAGGTTTGTTTGAATAATCCACACTGGGCACAGTATTGTTGAGGTTTAGATAAAACAAGATTGGACACATATTGATAGTTGCCTAAACTGGGACTAAGTACATGGTATAAATAATTCTTCTCTGCTTTTGTGTATGTTTGAAAATTTCCATAATAAAAGTTTTTTTTAAATCATCAAAATAATGATTATACATTTGAAAATTTTTCTTTAGCTCCAAAACAACTGTTCCCTTTTCCACAACTCTCCCTAGTTGTGTTTTCTTTCTAAAATGTTGTGGCATGGCATTGAAACACATAATGCCTTCCATAACAACCCAAGTTTCTTTCCTATGTTAATGCTCACAGCATTCTTCAGAAGCACATAAAGCTTCATCCACATGTTAAAAACAATAGTTTGTTGGCTTTCACATTTATGCAGCAGATACCTGGGAAAGCCAGGAATAGAATCCAGTTCTTTGGTCTCTCAATCAAGTTCTCTATCCACTTGTTTAGGTTACTACTATGTTGTGAGCCAAATGAATCATGTAAACTCCCAAATCCTTTAGGTTCCTGGCATATCATATGAAATGAGAATTTGTTCATGAGGGATAACATCTGTTAAAGAGACCTTTGTATAATATTTGACAGCCCCAACATTCCTTGAATGCTTGACAACTGCCATGGGGATAAAACTGAGCATAGCACTAGAACAGTCAACTCTAGATTGAGTCATGCTCTGTTTGCCTCACCACAAATTATTATTTATTTTTCACAGGGAAAACAGTATAATAGAGTAAGAAAAAACATGGATTCAGATACTAGTTCTACTGCTAACTTTTATGGCCCAGGAAAATTCTTTGTCCTATTTTAGCTTATTCTGTAAAATGGTTATAATAATATCTACCTCATAAAGTTGATGGTGGGGATTAGATGAGAAAATATATAATAAGTACCTAGTACAATGTCTGCCACGTGTCTAAGCTATCATCACCTGGCCTTAGTCATTATTAGCTAAGTTTTTTTTTCCTGTTTTTTAACTTGTATGTCAATGCCTTGATATTACTTGATGTGAGTTGGATTCAAGTGTTTCATTATCTCTGCCCCTTCTCTTGAGAACAGAAAGCTAGCCACCTTTCCATGTGTATACAGAATGACTGTACTGTCAATTAAAGTGACTGTAGAAGACAATTTTTGAAAATCAAATACCATTTTTTAAGATGGCCTCCAAAATCACCTCTACTAATTTAGCTATGTGACCATATCTTTTGTAACCATTTTGTCTTGGAGGTATATATTGATTTTGTCTGTATAGCATTTATTTTACTCATTTTTTTAAAAAAGGAATCCCTTGTTTTTCTTTTGACAACCACTCATTCCCATTTTTGGTTTATGTAAGGGGTTAGAAAATTTTTTCTTAAAGGGTCAGAGAGTAAACAGTTGAGGCTTTTCAGGCCATGGTTTTGGTTGCAACTATTCAACTCTGCTATTGTACCCTGAAAGCAACCACAGACTATTCACAAACAAATATATACATGGCAATACTTTTCAACAAGTCTTTATTTTCATAACCTGGTAGCCTACTTGTGGACTATAGTTTGCCTCTGGTATATAAAATTTAGATAAAATTACCTTTTCCTGCACTCTATTCCCCCACATGATCCAGAACTGCTAACAGTGTACTGTATCCATCTGGCCACTGTGGTTGGCTCATGATGGGAATTTGATTTAAATTGAAACAATTAGAAACAGGCCCATAACTTTTGCTATTATGGTTAAGGAAGATGCACTCTCTTTTACTTGGGGTAGATAAATTGGTAGAATATATTTCTGGGATGTCTGGTGGTCATCTTGTTTCTCAGGGACTGTCACTTGGGGAATCTGTCATCTTGTCAAAATGGGGAAGTCTACCTGAAGCTGAAACCAGTGCAGAAGAACACAGAGCTGAGAAACATAATGGAAACTGCAATCTTTTGTGTCAGTAAGACTAAGTTGTTTTCTTCAAGAACACTTTGCCAGAAAAGATAAGACCGCAAAACCAATAAATAAAACAAGTCTTCATGTGAGGTGATGTTTCTTCAAAATCTTCCCTGCCTAAAATGATTTCGAGGTTATCCTTTGCTGTAGAAAATTGGGGCTTTTTATTACCAATTATCTCTCTCTCTCTGGATTAAATCCAGAATTGTTAATTATTTGAGTAAAGTTTCAGTCTTGTAAGCAGCCATCAATTTGCCCCTTGGCACATTCTCAAGAAGTTCAGTGGCTTTCTATTTAAGCAAATGTCTAGTTAGTCTTTTCATATTTTCTAAAATCTCAACCCTAATTCCAGGATGAATGACTATCAGGGCATATGGTCTACGCTTAATTGGCCAAGAAAAAGAACTACAGTCAGGTACTTTGCAGACAGTATAAATTCAAACTCACAGACACCTTTGTTTTTGGGTTCATGCTGACAATAGAAAGCAGTGAATTTAGACCACATTGCTTTGCTTTTGTTCAGCTATATTCCAAAGCATTGCTATTAGTTTACTGAGTGCCATTATTAACAATAGCCCCATAAAACTTGTAGTTCCTAGATGATATTGTTAAGGGTGCATTCTCTACTCCATGCAGTGACCTTTTAATAAGAATACATGAAAATAATTTCTTTCAAATCTCAGTGCTAGGAATGTCTGGGTTTTTTTCATATCAATTGATTATTTTTTAAAATGTTATGAACACCATTAATCATGTACGTTTTCTCTTTGAACAAACTACTAAGGTACTCAGTATTCAGTTTATGACTGAATTCTAGTAAGGCTAAAGGATCTTTTTTTACCAGTTATTTTTATCCCAATTTCCTAACTAATTTTAATTTATCACATAGCATTGTGAGACAGTTTGTAACTATCTATATGAAGAGTCCTTCTTAATTAGTTAATAAAGAAATGTAGGCCAAGAAAGGAGAAAGGGGCCAGAAAAGGAAAGTGGGAGGATACCAGAAGCTGATCTTTTTCATTTAACAGCTTAGTCCAGTGCCTTGCCTGGACTGCCACTAGCTGTCTTTTGGTCTAGAAGAAGCCATGAGCAGGTTCCAATTGTATTGCTTCTAAACACTTGCTGACTGTCAAAAAGACCCCATCCCTTTGGGGACATAAGCCCTAGAGTTGAGAGCACCCACAGGATTCACGCTTCCCTGACTCTGGGGTTCCCTTTAGGGCTTTACCAGATGGAAAACTAGCACCTCGGAGCCAGTGAGGTGGTGAGCTAACAGGCTTTATCGACAGATGGAGGACCCCAAGTGTGAACGAAAACAGCTTCAGCTTGAAAGAAAAAAAAATTCAGAATCCAATCTATGTAAGCAAATACCCATATAAACCAATTATTCAAAAAAAACCTGGGGTACAATGACTACCTTGGTGACTCCACATGGAGATATTTACCTGTCCCATATTTTGTTAATGCTTTTAAATCAGTTATACTATGTTGAGAAAGAATGATGCTTTCCTGTTTTAAATGTGAACTTAATGTAGTGTGACTAGTTCCCGTTTGTTGCTGTTAACAGGATAGTTACTGACAATTTTGGGAAATCAGAACTTTAACAATTTCACCACACATTGTTTGGAAAACCTTAAGTGTGTCTTTCTGCTTGTGCTTTCTCTGAATGTAAAGATATAAATGTGTGGTAATTGGATCAGATAGATAGATCATAGTTCCATTATATGGGAATATTACTGGAAGTTATGAAGTATTTGTCTCCAGGTTCATCCAACACTTCTAACCATTTAATTTTTATCAATTTCTAGAAATAGTAACATTTATACAAAGAAGCTACCTCCAGTATGGATCAGATAGATAGATCATAGTTCCATTATATGGGAATATTACTGGAAGTTATGAAGTATTTGTCTCCAGGTTCATCCAACACTTCTAACCACTTAATTTTTATCTATTTCTAGAAATAATAACATTTATACAAAGAAGCTACCTCCAGTACTTAGCTTCTTGTTAAAAAATTATTATAGGTTAATTTTATAACCTACTTATAACTACATAAGTCTTGTAAAATGTATATTTCTTTGGTTAACATTTTATATTTGTTCTATCCAATGCAAAGACAAAGTATTGACAAAATTACAGATATTTTACTTACTAAGCCTCCATTTGTTTTTCAGCTTAAAAATAAGTTCATATACATCTGTTGCATTCCACTGACCACAATTTCACATCTTTTTGTTTTTTTAAGTGTCAGAAAAATTTTCACCAAATTATTTGAGAAGTATTTATTTCAGGAACTCTATGAATATAAATAAGTTTCAGATAAAAATAACAAACCTCCCCTTAAATTTAAAAGGACTTCTTATTTCAATTTGAAGAATTTGTAAAATGTATTTTATGGAAAAAAAAAGATTTTTTCCCCCTCAGGTTTAGAATATCTAAATTCATTTTAAAACTGATTTTTAAATTCAGAAGAAATTATACCTCAATTGGAATGCTAACATAGGTTTGAGAATTTTTAATTTGAAAAAAATTTATGAGTTAATTAAAATCTTAATTATATCATTGCTGATACATTTTTGATAAGTCAAAAATCTATTAAAACTGAATTAAAGTCTTCAAAGTTGATTTTAACATCCAAGTTTCGTTATGACGTGTCATTCTTGACATTAGGGACAGAGAATTAATACAGCAAAATTATAAAGGGTTGCACAAACAGAGCCATCTCTGAGGTGGCAGAGGAGCTTAACACTTCATGGGACCCTTTTGCACAAGTGACAACATTGTATTGGTCATAATGGTGCATAGTCCACCATCTGTCTGATAAAACAACTCCGCATGCTAAGTATTATTGACAGGAAGATGGGAAAACTGCCTTCTTGTGGGGGCTCTGGCTGACCCTTTCTCAAAGCCTGGCAAACTTTCAAAGGTCTTTTCTTCAGTGTAAAATACCATCAATCTGCCTGACTCAGTATTTCCCCTTTCTTAGAGTACATGCAACATTCTTTCTGAAAGGAACAGCTACAAATGTATTCCAGTGATCTAAAATGTTGAAACACAGGTGCCTAAATTGGGTAATGTAAAACTGTCTTTTATTTATGGCCAAAATTTACTGTATATCAGGGAACATCTGATCAGCTATAGAGGTTACCAACATGAGGTTTCTGGTGATTACAGCCAAGTTACAAGGATAGTGAACTTAGGAGTAGTCTGAAAACAGCCACTCCTAGCTGCTCATTCACACAGTGGTATGTATGTGGAGTTAGGTGTCTAGAGATGGTTTTAAGTGGCTAAGACACAGATGTTGGAATTTCAGCCTACAGAAGGTGTGTGCACACATGTTTGAGTGTGTGCATGCTCCCATATATCTATTGTTTTCTTTACAATAATCTGTGATTTTTAAATTCTATTTTTATAAAAAGCTTTATTGAAGTATAATACACACCACAATATTTACCCATTTTAAGTATAGAATTCAACGATTCAAACACTGACACCTATCACCTTTCACTTCATTTTGACAGTGTTTGATAACATATTGTGATTAGGATTGTGTTACTCTGATTTCTACTTGCTTGTTAAACTAAATTGTTAAATTAGTATTACTGAGGGCAATTTTATAATTATTGATTAGTGCAGAAACTTAGGTCTAAACATTGACGAAAAGCTGTTCAGGAATATGATCTTCAAACGTTTACTTCCAAAGTAAAGCTTCCAAGCTACATGTGGGTCATATTTTCTTTGTCATGACAAAATATGTACAGTTTATGTGATCCCGTAATTTGTATTATTCATTATATGCCCTGTTTCCGTAGATCTGCAAATCAATGCATATGTGTATATGTGTAGATTAGAAGCTATATTGCTAATTTGAAGTCGACATAGGTCTTGCATTAAACAAAAAAATCTTTTTAAAGGCTCTGCAGGATCCCAGTTTACAAAGTCTGTATCCTAGGCAACTTTGAAGCTTTCTAAGGAATGTGCCAAGTAGACAGCTGCTGTAGCTACTACCAGAGAACAAATCTTTTTCACCTTGGCATCTGGGTTTTCCATTTGTTGGCCAAAAGAAGCAGAATTTTAGCATTGTCTTTAGCTATTCAATAAATGCCAGTGGCTTAAACCATTGGGAATACTGATGAAGAGCAGTTGTTTGTTAAATGCCATAAGGACCTATTATTTTAGCTGTTAAAGTCAATTTTCTGAATTAAAAAAGTAAACTATGATAATCCATGTGATTTAATTTAGATTTTCTGTAAATCTCTTCCTCCTTTTCTGTCCCCACTGAACCACTGTTGAGAAGATATCTTATAATTTAAAAATCATTATAACTTAAAACTTGGAACAAACTGTAGAATAAGATTTTGAAGTACAACTTATGGAAATCTAATATAACAGACAGAGTAAGTGAGGAACAGGTAGCAACACACAAGATTCATCATAATTTCCCTTTTAAAAAATTGCCTAGAATATGTATGATATATATTAGCCCAGATTACCTAGAACACAGAGCTTCAGACAAAGCATATATGTTAATAATGCTTTCTTGGGGAGTACAATCTCAGGGTAATAAAAGTGAAGGAAGAAGGGAAGTGAGATAGGGAAAAAGGAACACAAATAAAAAATCATTTCTCAACTAGTTAAGTACAGGTTCACACACCAAAAAATGGCAGTTGTTCAGTCATAAGAGATGTCTCCTGAGATCATCTCTAGAATCTCTGTGCCTTGGAATAATCAGCAGCAGGAGGAAATGAATAGATTTATTTGCCAGTATATACTTGCCTCTTGTAGTTCTCTTGGTCAAGGTTTATGCCATAGACACTAATGTCACTGCAATTCTGAGTTATATTACCTGGCCACTTGGAATTCTATTGGGAAATCCAGGTCATACTTCCCATAGTATGGTATTGTTGAGTTGGACAGGAGCTGGTAAATTTGCTGTGATTTCTTCCATGGCAGGAGCCATAGACTTATGTTTAAGTCTAGATATCACTCTGAGAAAGATTGAGAGAGTGATAAATATTAAGTGAAAGGTGACAATGACAGCTGGTAGGATTCCATTGAGCGAGTTGGCAAGGCTTGGGAGTCAGCTAGTACTAAATGAATCTAGGGAGTCTTGTAGCTGGATTCAGTATGAAGTGTCATTCACTTATAGAATTCAATTTGCATGAACCATTAACATTATATGAACATAACTGTTTTGGTTGTCTACTATGCCTTAAGCGAGAGATAGCCAGAAATAAAGATATACATTAATTTATGTGCAGTTGTTAATAGTTTAGCTGGATGATCAGGGTCTTGGAAGGAAGAGAATTGGGAGATTGGTGACAAGGAAGTCTGAGAATAAGTATGTGAATGGGGCTGGGCACAGAGGCTCACACCTGTAATCCTAGCACTTTGGGAGGCTGAAGCATGTGGATCACTCGAGGCTAAGAATTCAAGACCAGCCGGCCAACGTGGCAAAAGCCCATCCTACTAAAGAAAAATACTAAAATTAGCCAGGTATGGTGGTGTGTGCCTGTCCCAGCTACTCAGGAAGCTAAGGGATGAGAATCGCTTGAACCCGGAAGGCGGAGGTTGCAGTGAGCCAAGATAGTGCCACTACACTCCAGCCTGGGTGACAGAGCAAGACTCTGTCTCGGAAAAAAAAAATGTTTGTGAATGGACCTCTTATAATGGACACAAACTGTGAAGATATTTGTTTTCTATATTAATGCCCACCAAGGGATGTCTATTTTAATAGTCAGGAGGATAAGATGACATGTTCTCTAGTGGTCAGTCATCTAGATTTCCCCAGCTAGCCCACTGCTTGTACAATGAGCCTATGAGCAAAGTGGCCATGATGTCAGTGATGGAGGTGTGCATGGGCTCAACATCATGGTGTGCACTTACCAAGGGTGACCTGGCTGCACTACTGCTGAGTGCCTAATCTGCTAACAACTCCTGAGAGTACCAGGAAATGGTGTCAGATTAATTACATTGGATGTCTTCCATCATAAAGGGGGAAGGTATTTGTCTCTTGGAATAGACATATTTTTGATACAGATTTACCTTTCCCACCTTTAATGCTTCTGCCAGCATTGAACTCACAGAATAATTTATCCTTTTTATGGCATTCCATGTATAATTGTGTGTGATCAAGGAACTCATTTCAAAGCAAAAGAAATGTAGCAATGGGCTCATACTGATGGAATTAACTAACCTTACCACATCCCCCATCACTCAGAAGTGGCTGGACCAATTTAAAGATGGAATGGCTTACTAAAGCAGTCAGGTATAGTGTCAGTTGAGAGATAATACAGAAATGAGGTTCCATTTTACAGGATGTACTTAGTATATGCTTTGTGTTAGAGATCATTATATGAGGATGCCTTTTCTATAGCCAGAATACAAGGGTCTGGAAATCAAAGGGTAGGATTGGCAATGTTCTTCTCAAAATATCACATAATACCCTACTCACAGAATTTTTGCTTCCTGTCCTGCAACTTTGCATTTCGGTTGTTTATGGATGCTGGTCACTAAAGGGAATGAGGCATGGAAGATACTTCCATCAGTGGAAACAATAATGATTCCATTGAATGGGGAGATGAGACTGCCAACTAGTCATTTTGGGCTTCTTATGCCACTGAAAAAACATATCAAAAGAAAAAGAAGTTACTTTTTCTGGTTGGAATGATCAATTCCAATAATCAAGGAGAAACTGGGCTGCTGTTACACAATGGAGGTAAGGAGGACCATGTTTGAAATATGGTAGATTCTCTGTGGTGTCTCCTAATATATTCATGCTCAATGGCAAAAGTCAGCAGAGAAGTATAGCAACTAAAAAACAACAACAAAAAAAGGCAGGGTAACTGAGGACTCAGACACTTCGGGAATGAACATTTGGGTTATTCCACCAGGTAAAGAATCGTCAACCAGCTGAGATTCTGGCTAAGGGCAAAGCAAATACGATATGGCTAGTGGAGAAAGGAAGTCTTAGATATCAACTAAAGTAGACCCTTGAATAACATAGGTTTGAACTGTGTGGGTCCACTTGTACATAGATTTTCTTCTGCCACTGCCACCCCTGAGACAGCAAGACCAACCCCTCCTATTCCTCCTCCTCAGCCTACTCAACATGAAGATGATAAGGATGAAGACTTCATGATTCACTTTCGCTTAAATATATTTTCTCTTTCTTATGATTTTCTTATTAACATTTTATTTTCTCTAGCTTACTTTATTGTGAGAATGCAGTATATAATACATATAACATACAAAATATACGTTACATAACTGTTAATGTTATTGGTAAGCATTCCAGTCAACAGAAGGCTATTAGTAGCTAAGTTTTGGGGAAGTTAAAGGTTAGAGTCGATTTTTGATTGCATGGTGGAGGGTTGGCACCTCTAACCTCTTTGTTGTTCAAAGGTCAACTGTACAAGTGCAGAAACAAGGACCATAGTAATTTTGCATATATGCTTTTTGTTTCTAATATTTGCATATATTAACTTTCTTTTTGCTTTCTTCTTTCCATTTACTTTTATATACTAGTCGGTGGAGATTAACTTTATAACTTAGTCTGTAAGTGACAGCATATTCAGTAGAGCTATGGAGGAACTTGAGGAATAACTAGTATAGTAGGCAGTAGATACAATGACTGCTGGGACTATGTCTCTCCTCATTTTGGGGAAAGGGTAAGAACTGCATCACTTGTAAGTAAAATAGTTGAATCTTGTTAGATGGAAATTTAGGGTTATTTTAATGTGGTATGGAAGCTCAAATGTGTTAGAAAGGTGCATATGGAAACTGAGTAGCCAAAGAGGTAGTCTGGACCTTTCAGGTCCAAATCCACCTATCACTACATGCTTTTCAATAATGGAGATGGAACCTATAAGCATTTATCCTTTGTAGTTGGCATGATGTTAAACATTGTCAATAGAGGGCACTGGAGGAACAGTGAGGAAGAAGGGGCTTTTCTCTGCTATTCCAATGTGTTTCTTGATGCTGCTTCTTGCTCCTCATGCTTGTTTGCCAGTGACACACGTGAGAGGCATCTAGTAGTACTCATCCCCTTCGAGTTTAAGTGGTAATTCTGTGGATGGCTTCCTGTCAAGTTCCATTCATACCGCCATGAATGCATTCCTAGAGAGTCTTGTAAGCACTACAGCAGTCAGCTCCATAGCTGTGGCCCACCTGCACCTTGGAGGGGGATATCCTTCTTGTTAGTTTCAGCTAGTTCCAGCTCTAGTTCCCTGCCTACCAGTTTCAGTCCACCTGCACTTTGGAAGTGCATTTCTGGCTTGCCAGGTCTAGCTGCAATTGTGTCTGCCTGCTTCAACTCACTTGTACTATGGAGGGGCATTTCTTGATTACCCAGCAATTGTGAATTAGTCTGGCCTGGGGAAACCCAGTGAACTTCTCTGCCACCCAAAGGGTACCAACAATGTCTTTTCCAATGAAGTCTGAACCCCAGACTTAGAGAAAGGAACTTCCAAATGTATTTCTTCATTGGACATTCTTCCTCTGCCCTGGTCCTCCTTAGTCCTCTATAGTTAATTCTGTTCATAATCTTTATATTAAAATTCCCTGTTCAAATTACTGTGTTTTCTGTCTCATTCCATCTTAATACACTACTTATCTATGAGATTTGGAAAAAAGGATTGTATGAACAAGAGAAGATATTTTATCCCAAATATTTTAGGGATTTTATTATCCACTTTGGGGTTCAGTTGTTAGTCTGGAATAGAAAACATCAGGAATGCAGTAGACCTATTGGCTATATGGTAGTTACAGCATTCATATCACAGCCATCAGGCTGGTTTATGTCTAACCTGTGCAATGCTTTTCAGGAAGGAGAGGAGCTTAGGGTTCCCTTGAGCTACTTCTCATTAGAGATAAGAATTAGGCTTTGGATAGTTTAAGGAAGCCCACTGCTTACTGGACATAGTCAAGAATGGGATCTCCTCTAGTCATGAACTAACCCTGGAGGTTAAATGCTTCTTTCGGTTACCCAAGTGATTTTCCGGAGTTGGGTCAAGTTTGAAATTTCTGGGTAGTGGTCTGAGATTGATGAAAGGCTTCCTCAGATGCATACATGGTAGAGAGAAAACCTTAGAGCACAACCCATCAAGAAAGATGTCCCCAGGTTTTGAAGACCTCAGGACCCTTTCACTGACTTTCATAACATGTTCTCAATTGGAAAAGGGCCAACTGGACGGTTATTTGTATCCTGCACAGCTGCAAATAATATTTTAAAAAATGAAGATGAGGAAGGGTGCTCCCTTTCCTCAATTATCTTGAAAAGATCTTGACAAAATTGTCATATGGGATTCATGTCCATCCCCCACATATGCGCTTACACCAATAATGCTTGAAAGATAGAGGATTAGGAAGTAATTGAATCTTTCAAATTATCTCGTTCATTTTTTGAACTTGCATGTTCTCTACCCCTTCCCTCACCACTAAACCATAAACTCCATGAGAGCAATCTCTTTTGTGTCTTAATCACCACTGCATTTATTGTATGTTTACTGTCTTTTAAATAAAACAAGTTTACTGATGTGTTAGCAGTTGAAGAGATTCAAGGTACCTCCAGTTACCAGTGGCAAATCCATATGTGTCTGCAGCAACTTCAATTCTTGCCTCCTCAGAAGAAAGAATTCAACTGAGGGGCATAAAACAGAAAAAGAGATCGAAGCAAGTTTCAGAGCAGGAGTGGAAGTTTATTTAAAAGGCCTTAGAACAGGAAAGAAAGGAAAGTTAACTTGGAAGAGATACAAGAGGGTACATGAATATCAAAGAGGAAATAAAAAGGGCCTTTAACCTCGATCCTGGGACTTTATGGGCTGGCCTCTTTCCCATGATTCTTCCCTTAGGGTGGGCTTTCCGCATGTGCAGGGTTCTCCTTACCCTTGGGAATTGAGCATGCGCAGTGTGTTTAGAGAGTTATAGGCATGCCCAACTGAGGCTTTCTTCCTTTTTCCAATGGAGTGTACACGGAAGATCATACTATGCCATTTTTGTATCTTAAGGTGCATGACCAGGAAGTTACTTCTCCCTGGGGTCAGCCTTTAATTAACACTTCAATGTTAACAGGGGTGGACCATCAGGAACTGGCCTCTCCCTGGCTCTGGCTGCCAAGTTATCGCTTTTAGAGAGGCATTGCGATAATTGCCAAACCATCACCTGACTTTTCTAGTGGGTGGGGCAGGGAGAGCCCTCTCCTGCCCTGCTCATGCCTAACTGCCTGTAACAGTCCCACCAGTCCGCTTCATTGGGCTACTTCCAGTAATACTAAGCCATAGGCATCAGTATGTCTGTTAACTGAATGAAAGATACATTGCCCAATTTTTCATTTAGTACTTTGCCTATTGTCTTTTTCACTTAGTATTTATTTGTTATCTGATTCTTGGTAAAACAGTATTTGGGAAACTGAAATTGGAGTAAATGTTAATGTTCCCATCACTATGTTTCCAAGATAAAATTTTTAAAATTAACTAGTTTACTACTAAGTAAACTAAAATGTAAGCATTTTATTATAGCTCTTGAAAATAAGAATTTGAGTCTCACTCTCCCTCTCCCCCTCCCCCTCCCCCTCCCCGTCTCCGTCTCCCGCTTTCCACGGTCTCCCTCTGTTGCCGAGGCAGGACTGTACTGCCGCAATCTCGGCTCACTGCAGCCTCCCTGCCTGATTCTCCTGCCTCAGCCTGCCGAGTGCCTGGGATTGCAGGCGCCCACCGCCACGCCTGACTGGTTTTTGTATTTTTTGGTGGAGACGGGGTTTCGCGGTGTTGGCTGGGCTGGTCTCAGCTCCTGACCTCGAGTGATCTGCCCGCCTCGGCCTCCCGAGGTGCCGGGATTGCAGACGGGAGTCTCGCTTACTCAGTGCTCAATGTTGCCCAGGTTGGAGTGCAGTGGCGTGATCTCGGCTCGCTAAAACCTCCACCTCCCAGCCACCTGCCCTGGCCTCCCAAAGTGCTGAGATTGCAGCCTCTGCCCGGCTGCCACCCCGTCTAGGAAGTGAGGAGCATCTCTGCCTGGCCGCCTATTGTCTGGGATGTGAGGAGCCCCTCTGCCCGGTGCCCAGTCTGGGAAGTGAGGAGCGCCTCTTCCCGGCCGCCATCCCGTCTAGGAAGTGAGGAACATCTCTGCCTGGCCGCCCATCATCTGGGATGCGAGGAGCCCCTCTGCCTGGCTGCCCAGTCTGGGAAGTGAGGAGCGCCTCTTCCCGGGCCATCATCCCGTCTAGGAAGTGAGGAACGTCTCTGCCTGGCCACCCATCATCTGGGATGTGGGGAGCGCCTCTGCCCGGCCGCCCTGTCTGGGAGATGAGGAGCATCTCTACCCAGCCACCACCCAGTCTGGGAAGTGAGGAGCGCCTCTGCCCGGCCGCCACCCCGTCTGGGAGGTGAGGAGCGTCTCTACCCGGCCGCCACCCCATCTGGGAGGTGAGGAGCGTCTCTACCTGGCCGCCACCCCGTCTGGGAGGTGAGGAGCGTCTCTACCCGGCCGCCACCCCATCTGGGAGGTGAGGAGCGTCTCTATCTGGCCGCCACCCCGTCTGGGAACTGAGGAGCACCTCTGCCCGGCCACCCTGTCTGGGAAGTGGGGAGCCCCTCCGCCCAGCAGCCACCCCGTCTGGGAAGTGAGGAGTGTCTCTGCCTGTTCGCCCCCTCTGGGAGGTTGGGGGCGCCCCCGCCCGGCAGCCACCCCCTCTGGGAGGTAGGGGGGCGCCTCCGCCCAGCCGCCCGTCTGGGGGGTGAGGGGCCCCTCTGCCCGGCCGCCACGTCTGGGAAGTGAGGAGCCCCTCTGCCCGGCGGCCACCCCTTCTGGGAGGTGTACCCAACAGCTCATTGAGAACGGGCCATGATGACGATGGCGGTTTTGTCGAATAGAAAAGGGGGAAATGTGGGGAAAAGAGAGATCAGATTGTTACTGTGTCTGTGTAGAAAGAAGTAGACATAGGAGACTCCATTTTGTTCTGTACTAAGAAAAATTCTTCTGCCTTGGGATGCTGTTAATCTGTAACCTTACCCCCAACCCCGTGCTCTCTGCAACTGTGCTGTGTCAACTCAGGGTTAAATGGATTAAGGGCAGTGCAAGATGTGCTTTGTTAAACAGATGCTTGAAGGCAGCATGCTGGTTAAGAGTCATCACCACTCCCTAATCTCAAGTACCCAGGGACACAAACACTGCGGAAGGCTGCAGGGTCCTCTGCCTAGGAAAACCAGAGAACTTTGTTCACATGTTTATCTGCTGACCTTCTCTCCACTATTGTCCTATGACCCTGCCAAATCCCTCTCTCCGAGAAACACCCAAGAATAATCAATAAATACTAAAAAAAAAAAAAAAAAAAAAAGAAAAAATAAGAATTTGAGCAGTTTTAAAACTTAGAAATACTCCAAATATTAATTTAAAGAATCCTTTAAAATGCAATTAAGTATTTAAGCTAAATGGATATGTAAAAAGAAAAATTTAGTGGTATCTTCAGGAAAAAGAAAGGATCAACTTTGTGAAAAGTAACTAGCAATTAAAATTTTAAAACAGACTTATTTAACACACTTCGAAAATGCGATTAAATCCATCAGTTGAACCTGATTACTTCTGTTCCTAAGGCAGTTTATAATAATATACTAATAATCACAGTAAGTGCTAAATAGTGAGCTAAGCACTTAAAATGCATTCTTTCATTTAATTAATTAATATATTATGTAAAGAATGCAGAGAGGCCTGGAGTGGAACTAAATCCACTGATCATTACTTTCTAAATTTATTACAGAGATTCACTTAGAATTCAAATTCCTTTGATATAAAAGTTTGGTTTTTCTAATCGGAATCACCCTCTCTCAAGGGAATCAGAGCTAGTCCAGGGAGCTAGTGGCTCTTTGGGCCCCAGTTTTGGTTTCTTGAGGCAAATGGTAGAGCAAGAAGAGTCTCACTGAAGGTCAAGGGCTGGAGGAAGCTGGAGTTGTAAGTCAAGTCAGGAATGTGAGTGAGGTCAAACGTCAATGGTAGTGGTGCAGAAGTAAGACTTGAGGCTAGGGTTCTAAAGCCAGGAGTTCAGAGGTGCATATGGCTTAGAAAACAGTGAAAAACAGATGGCAGGGCTGGAGGGATTTGGAATAATTGTTGAAACTATCATTGTGTATTTTGATAGCTTGACTTTATAGGTCCAGGGGAGAGTGGTGTATTTATCTGGCTTAGGAAGCCATATACGAGAAAGGTGATTACTAAATCTATATTATAAACATTTGATTATCCACATTGAAGCTTATTTTTTCTTGTTACCTTCACTACATTTCTGAGAATTTCATATCTCCCCTGCATTTCAGTTTTCCCTGTATTGGCTTCCTCACAATCTATTCGTCACAAAATTCCTTTGCCATTTGCCTGTATTCTTCCAAACATCTACTTCATAGGAAGTTGAGACACAATAACAGTTTTTATAGAGACAATACTTAATGATTCAGAACCACAACTAAGAATAAGAAGAGACCTTAGGCTTGGAGGCAACATAGCCAACTAAATACAGCCAGGAGGAACATCTGCCACCAAGTGACCAGAACATCAGTAAGACTGGCGCACTCCAAGCAGATCTTCAGAGGGAAGGCATTGAGAGCAGACAGAGGGAGGACAGAGATACTGGGTTGAAGGGGGAGAAAGCTGGGAACCCTGCCCAGGACTACCATGCACTGAGACTCATTCCTGGCCCCAAGCAAGTCCTGGGGAAGGGGTGAGTTAAGCAGGTGTGGAGCAACCTCCTCTCACCACTGGTCTCAGGAATCTTGGCGGCAGAAGACCCCATGACCCCCACAGACACTTGAACTGGTGGAGAGAGCAGCTTAGAGAGGTGGTAGGGGCAGAACTCCAGCTGGCACAGATCCCAGAGGATTTGGTGCGGGAGTGTCTGTAGTGGAGCACAGCCAGGGATGCCCATCTCCCAAGGCTTGCCTTGCTCCCCTAGGAGACTTTAGCCTTAGGGGAACTATTGGACCTGAACAGAGCAGGGCAATCTTGCCTATGAGATGAGGCCAGTCTGACCTGAGCACTTCCCTGTCTACTGGCCTCTCCTAGGGCCCTGGCCTGACCACACCTGCTTGCAGTGCAGCCTCAGATGCCAAGCTGTGGTGCCTCCCTGGGGCCCACATCATAGCTCATGCACAGGTAGACCGGGCCTAATTGTCAGAGAGTTCCAGCAGAACGGCCTCCCCACTGACATTCACCAGCCCGCCTGCACCTTCCCCCAACTGCAACCTCCCCCATACTGCTTTGTCAGTACACACACACCCATAACCAACCCCCACAATCGTTTGATGGGTCATGTGGGATCAGGTGGACCTTCCTTCCCTTCCCCTACCACTGGCAGGTATTTGCATATACACCCCACCATGCCATGGCTGCCAGTGTGAGCACACTCTGCCCCCTGCTGTGCCACCATTGACAACATAGATGCACATAAGACCAGCAGCCCTGCCTGCCATTCTGTGCCACAATTGCCACTGGCACAATTGCAAATGTGGTGACCTCTAGCACCACTTTCACCAGTGCTCTACCCCTGCATTGATACCACCGGCACAAACCTGTGCCTGGAGAACAATGGCCCCACTCCCCACCCTGTGCCACCATTGCCACCAGCATGAACATGTGCATAGAGGGCAGCAACCCCACACCTACTAGTTCCCCACCCCGTGCCAATACTGCTGCCTGCATAAACCTGCACGTGGAGAACAGTGGCCATGCTGCCACCACTGCTGCTGTGAACACCCGCAGGAGACTGGCACTGCACTGTACCCACCAGCTCCCTGCCTTAACCCACAAGCATGCACTCCGCCATGCTGCCACTGCACTGACACATGCAAGTGATTACAGATCCCACTACCACTGCCTAAAAAGCACTTTGGCTGGCACCACCCATTGGAATGTTGTGATGAGCAGTCTGGGAGCACTTGAGCCCCCCCCCAGTGCAGCAGGTTCCTAACTGTGAGGGGCCAGAGAACAAAGCAGGGAGCCCAATGCCAGCTCCCAAGAGTTACAGCACATGGCCCCAGAGTCCTGAGCGGAGCCCTGGGCCCCTAAAATCTTCCAGAAAGGAACCAGTCAACTGAACCCACCTCATAAGGATGAGAAAGAACCAGTACAAGAACTCTGGCCACTCAAAAAGCCAGAGTGTCTTCTTACCTGCAAATGACCACACTACTTCCCCAGCTATGGTTCTTAGCCAAGCTGAAATGTCTGAAATGACAGATATTGAATTCAGAATATGGATAGGAATGAAGATTATTGACATTCATGAGAAAGTTGAAACCTAATCCAAGGAATCTAAGGATTAGGATAAAACAATACGTGAGCTGATGAACAAATGACCATTACAAGAAAGAACCAAACTCATCTGATAGATTTAAAACTCACTTTGAGAATTTCAGAATACAATTGCTAGCATTAACAGCAGAATTGACCAGCTAAGGAAAGAATCTCAGGGCTCAAACACCGGCTCTCTGAAATAACACAGTCAGACAAATATAAAGAAAAAGCAGTAAAGAAGAATAAACAAAACCTCTAAGAAATAAGGGATTATGTAAAAATGCCAAAAGAGAGGCCTATTGGTGTCCCTGAAAGAAAGAGAAAGCAAACAACTTGGAAAACATATTTCAGGATATCGCCATGAAAATTCCCCAAACCTTGCTAGAAAGACCAACATTCAAATTCAGAAAACACAGAGAACCCTTACAAAATACTACACAAGAATACCTTCTCCAAGACACACAGTCATCAGATTCTTCAAAGTTGAAAGAAAAATACTGGGTGGGCCAAGATGGCCAATTAGAAGCAGCTACAGTCTGCAGCTCTCACAGAGGACAAAATGGTGAATGAATTCTACACCTTCAACCTAGGCATCCAGGTTCTTGCATTGGGACTGACTAGGTGATCAGCATGACTCAGAGAGAGTGAGGAAAAGTAGGGTGTGGCTATGGCCCACCCAGGAGCAGCACAGAGCAAAGGGAGCTGTCATCCCCAGCCAAGGGAGTTGAGTGATTGTGTGACCCCGCACAGGAAACCACATTTCTGCCACAGATCTTTGCAATCCACCCGCTATGAGGCCATGCCACCAGGGCCTTGGGTCTGAGGCAGAGAGCTGTGTAGATTCTCAGCGGCCACTTGGGCATGCACGGAGATGCAGGAGTTTTTGCAAACTCCGGCCCCAGGAATTCTAGTGAGGCAGGAGATCTGTCCATTCCCATAGGAAGAGGGCTGAAGCCAGGGAGCCGAGAGGCCACGTTCAGCGGGCCCCGCTCCCATGGCACCTCATAAGTTAAGACCCATTGGCTGGAATTCCAGCTGGCCAGCGGCAGCAGACTGGAGACCGCCTGAGATGATTGAGTTCCACAGGAACTCGGAGACTGAAACTAGACCCCTTCTTTATACCATATGCAAAAATCAACTCAAGATGGATTGAGACCCAAATGTAAACCCTAAAAGTATAAAAACTCTGGAAGGTAACCTAGGATATACCATTCTGGACATAGGACCCGGCAAAGATTTCATGATGAAGACGCCAAAAGCAATTACAACAAAAACAAAAATTGATATGTGGGACCTGATTAAAGTAAAGAGTTTCTGCACAGCCAAAGAAACTATCAACAAATAGGCAACCTAAAGAATGGGAGAAAATATTTGCAAACTATGCATCTGACAAAGGTCTAATATTCAGCATTTATAAGGAACTTAAACAAAATTACAGGAAAAAAACACCATTAAAAAGTGGGCAAAGGACTTGAAAAGAGAGTTTTCAAAAGAAGACATACATGGGCCCTACAAGCATATGAAGAAATATTCAACATCACTAATCATTAGAGAAATGCAAATCAAACCACAATGACATACCATCTCACACTAGTCAGAATGGCTATAATTAAAAAGTCAAAAAATAACAGATGCAAGTGAGTTTGCAGAGAAAAAGAAACACTTATACACTGCTGGTGGAAACGTAAATTATTAATGGCTCAGCCATTGTAGAAAGCAGTTTGGCGAGTTCTCAAAGAACTGAAAACAGAGATACCATTTGACTCAGCAATTCCATTATTGAGTATATTCCCAAAGGAAAATGAATCATTTTACCAAAAAGACGCATGTACCCTTATGTTCACTGCAGCACTATTAACAATAGGAAACACATGAAATCAACATAGATGCCCATCAATGGTAGATCGTATGAAGAAAATGTTGTATATATACACCATGGAATACTACACAGACATAAAAATGAATGAGATCATGTTCTTTGCAGCAACAGGGATGGAACTGGGGCCATTAGCCCAAGCAAACTAACACAGGAACAGAAAACCAAATATCTCATGTTCTCACTTATAAGTGGGAGCTAAGCATTGAGTACATATGGACACAAAGAAGGGAACAACAGACACTGGGGCCTACTTGAGAGTGGAGGTTGAGAGGAGGAAGAAGATTACAAAACTTCCTACTGGGAACTGTGCTGATTACCTGGGTGATGAAACAATCTGTATAACAAACTCCCATAACAGGCAATTTTCCTGCATAACAAACCCGCCATGTACCCCTGAACCTAAAATAAAAGTGAATTAAAAAAAAAAACACCTTTTGTTAGCTTCTTCTAAAAAAAAATAATAATAAATGACCTGGCCAATTGTGCTGCATATACTTGTCTTCCCACTTATAATAATTTATGTAGTATGCTTTATATTTTATTTTCCCTTAACTACCAGATCCATATGAATAAAACTGATTATGCCTCTTTCAAAAAAAGAGAAACCTTATTAGCATATTTATCCCTATGCTTTCATTTTAAAAATCCACTCATTCAAAAAAACATCTGCACTCGTATGTTTACTGCACTATTCACAATAGCAAAGTCATGGAATCAACTGAAATGTCCATCAACAGATGATTGGATGAAGAAAATGCGGTATATATTCACCATGGAATACTACTCAGCCATAAAGAATGAAATGTGATTTGCAAAAACTTAGATGGAACTTGGGACCATTATTCTAAGTGAAATAACTCATAAACAAAGTCAAATATTGCATGTTCTCACTTATAACTGGAAGCTAAACAATGGGTTGCATGAACTGAGAGAGTGCAATGATAGACAATTTAGAGACTCTAAAAGACGGGATGGGGAGGGGGAATGAGTGATGAAAAATTACCTACTGGGTACGATGGATACTACTACAGTGATGGGTACCCTAAAAGCCCAGACTTCAGCACCAAGCAATATATCCATGTAACAAAACTGCATTTGTACCCCTAAATCTATTTTTTTAAACCCCACTCATTCAACATTATTTATTGAGCACCTAAAATGCACCAGGCAGTCTTCTAAAAACTGGGGAAATAAAGGTGAATAAAAGAGGTTGAGCTCCCATTCTCATAGGACATACATTTTATTGGGGTAGATAGATAATAAACAATAAAATAAATATAAAAATGTAATATAAATGGCAGGTAAATGCTTTCAAGAAAAAAAAACATGGTAATGGCATAGAGAATGATAGGAGAAAGGAATGTGATTAGGGAAGTCTTCTGTAAAAAGTGAAATTTGATCAGATAATTAAAGTGAGAAGAAATTCATGTTGCAGCTCTGAGGGAAGTATGTCCAAAGAAAATTCAGTGAGAACAAAGTTGGAGGGCAGAAAAATTTCAGGATTAGCAAGGAGGCCAGTGGCACTGAAGAGGAGTGAGAGAAGTGGAAAGAGATGATGTTAAAGAGATATGCACATATCACACAGGTCCCTGAGGGCCACAGTGAAGAGTCTGAAACTGATTCTCATGCAACAAGGAACCATTAAAATGTTTAAGCAAGGAAAAGTCATGATATATACTTTCAAAAAGTGTATATCAATAAAGAATACACTGAAGAAAGGCAAGAGAGAATGCAGGGAGACCAGTTAGGGGTCTCTTGAATTGTCAAAGTGAGAGGTGATAATGGCTGGGATCAGGGAAGTAGTAGTAGAAGTGGTGAGAAGTAGCCAAACATGGAATATATTTTGAAGTTTAAGTCAACAAGACTTTTGGTTGATTTTATAGGAAGTGCAGTGAGGATAAGAGAAGGTTGAAATGTGACTATAAGGTTTTCGACATTTGCGTCAGGATATGTAACATTTGCCAAGATGGTAAAGACTAGGAGATAATCATGTTTTGGGGGGAAACCAAGAGTTCTAGTTTGAATGTGTTACACTTAGATGCCTCTTAGATATTCAAATAGAGTCATCAAATAGGCAGTTGAATATAAAAATGTGGAGTTTGGGAGAGGTCCAGGCTACAGTTATCAAATTGTGGAATCTGTTGCACAATACTAGTATTTAAAGCCATTGGACAAGATTAGATGACCAAAGGAGTAAGTATAGAGAAGAGAAGAGGCTGAGGGCTGAGTTCTGGAGCATACCAACATCCAACCACTAAAAAGACAGAAACCAGCAAAGAAGATTTAGAAATCAGAGGAGAACCAGTTGAAGAGAAGAGAAGTGAAAGAAGTGATGAGAGAGAGAGAGAACTAAAGTTTAGTTATTGAGCATGGCAAGAAGGGTGTCATTAGTGAGCCAACATGAATGATTTCAACAAAGAACTAGAAGTCCTACGACAGAATATTCAAGAAGAGATGAAAAGTAAAGAAATGTTTTTAAAAATAGGGATCAGAAAATGGGCAGTAGTTGTAGGAGGCTGTCATCTCTAGTGAAAGTTTTATTATTTTTTTAAATGAGTGATATTAGAAAATGTGCTTATGCTGACAAGGATGATCTGTCATGCCTAGACTTTTGAGTTTGAGAGGAGGACACATTGCCAGACTTTTATTTGTCAAAATAGATGAGCTTTCTGTCAGGAGGGAAGGTAGTTTTTCGTTGACATCTTCATTAGAATCAGTAGCATTGAATAAGAATAGCTTCAGATTCCCTTTTTTAAGACAAACATAAATAACTTCACAGGGCATGCTCTGCCTCACATAGATTTCCAGGAATCTAGGCATGTGGCAGGAGTGGCAGGCCTGCCACCCAGTGTAGCTGGTTCTGTGTGATGGATTGGTGAGCTTTGATGAATGGCCTATGCCAGGCAGCACCATTAGAGCTGACTCACTCCAGCAAGATTAATTGTATTAGATTGTACAGACATCTTTCAAGAGGGAAGCATTTCTGTTTATCTATCGCATGTCCATCACAAAGGGGGTCCCTAGCAGCCTGTCATAATCCATAAAGAGGATCAAAACATTTTCATATCTATCAAGGATGCTTTCAATGGTTTCCTCACTTCCTGTTGCATCCTCATGGCCAATAAAAACATACTTTGTTGGAGTTATTAAATTCTCATTATAAGTTATCCTTGGCACTAAGAGAGAAAATTAAAATAAAATGGTCTAAAGACCAAGGTAAACCATGGATTAATCTAGTTTGTATAACATAGCAATTATTATATTGTAAATACTTGTCCACATGGTGTCCCAGATTCCCTGAGAGATAGTATAGAGTCTGAAATACATTGTGTTTTATGTTTTTAAGTGAATTAATTTGTGAATAAGATACATAACACTATAGGATTAATGGGAACTTAAATATTTAAAAAGGATTTGTCCTTTTCTTTTTTTTTTTTTTACTTTTTTCTTTTAGTTAATTTAATTTATTTATTTACTTTTTTATTATTATTATACTTTAAGTTTTAGGGTACATGTGCACAACATGAAGGTTTGTTATTGATGAAGAAAATATATAAGTCCAAATGACACATATACCATATATTTTAGTCAAATATTTACATAGAGCTTGCTATATGACAAGTAGTGTAAGAATTGCTTCACAAATATTAGTTCATTTAACTTCATAAGTTGGTATTATTATCAGTATTTTACATATGAGGAAACTGAGGCAACTAACAGTGGCATGGAACATAAATGTGGAATAGTCATGTAATTAAGTGATATACAGAAATGATAATGAACTATAATTATATACAATAATGTCAAAGAATCTCCCAAAATGTAGAGTGAAAAAAGGAAGACACAAAATACTACATGCTGTATGGTTTCATTTATAGAAATTTCAAAGACAGGGAAAACTGATCTATAGTTTCAGAGATCAAGATAATGATCACACTGGGGGTGGTGGTGATTGGAAGAGGGAGTGAAAAGAGCATACATTATAACAACTTTTTCCATTGTTGATGAATACTTGCATTGTTTTTAATTTTTGCTATTATGAAATGAATTGCTCTAAATATTTTTGTACATGTCTTTGGTGGGCATATATGTCTCAGTAATTTTTTAAACTCTTCTTTACTGATATTAATATCAATATTCTGTATTACTATCAGTAATACCAGTATTTTTATTAGTATTTGTGTGCTATATATTTCTTTTTCAAACTCTTCTTTGATATTAATATCAGTATTCTATATTGCTATCAGTAATGCTGGTGTTCTTTTGGTTAGTATTTATGTGCTGTAGCTTTTTATCCTAAGTGAGTCCTTAAATGACTATCTCTTGTAAACTGCATTTAATTGTCTTTTTACCAAAAAACAATATTAATCTTTTATTTGGATTGTTTAATTCATTTATATTCAATGTTATTAGTGATATAGCTGTGATGCAGGGCAGACAAGCCTCAAAGTGGAGTTTACCTGTGATGGTTCTTGGCTTTGCCCAGGAAGGAATTCATGGGCAAGTTAGAGGTGGAAGAAAGCAGCTTTATTGAAGAGACGTTGTTACAGCTCCATGGCTGCTCCTGCAGAGCAGGGCTACCCTGTAGTCAGACAGTAGCAGCTTAGAGCAGTTTTGCAGTCATATTTATACCCACTTTTAATGGCATGCAGATTAAAAGGTATTTTATGCAGAAATTTCCAGGGAAGGGTAGTAACTTTGGGTCATTGCCATGGAAAGGGGCGGTAACTCCCAGGTGTTGCCATGGCGATAGTAAATTGACATGGCTCGCTGGCGGTTGGGTCTGATTGAAAGCTGCTTCCACCAGGGCCCTAATTTAACTAGTCCTCAAGTTGGTCTGGTGTCTGAGCCCCACCTCCGGAGTTGAGTCCTGCCTCCTACTTCAGTTGGGTTTTTAAAATTATCTTTCGATTTGTTTTTTATTTGCCCCAGGTATTCCTTGTTTCTCTGTTCCCTTTTTCTTGCCTTATTTTGGAATTATGAGATATTTTTACAATTTAATTCTTTTCTCTTACATTAAGGTTTTAGTTATACTTTCTTATACTATTTATTTCACGTATTTTAAGAACTACAGTAATTTCTCCTGTATGAAAAAAGTGAATTGAGGGGTAGGAAATGTTCCTTGTAGCCCTCAATGTTGCAGTTATAACTTTGAGTATTATTTCACCTACAGTTCAGTTCAGTGTGTTCCTTTATCCTGCAGATGGGCTTCTAGATCTAGAGATTTGATCAGACACTGGTTGCACCCCTTTGGCAACACAATAAATGGTGCTGGGTTCTTTCATCAGAGACAAGTAGAAAACATAAAATTCACTCTGTCTTTATGTTAGCAGCTATTGATGCTCAGTGATTAGATCCATTAAGTCTTTGAGGGTTCTAAAATGGTAATATATTAACTCAATTAAAATGAACCATATATATATAAATATAAATATATATATATATATATTGACACGAGGTCTCACTCCATCACCTAGGCTTGAGTGCAGTGGTGCCATCTTGGCTCACTGCAACTTCCACCTCCTGGGTTCAAGCAATTCTTATGCCTCAGCCTCCTGAGTAGCTGGGACCACAGGTGCATGCCACCACACTCGGCTAATTTTTATATTTTTTGTTAGAGACAGGGTTTCACTGTGTTGACCAGGCTGGTCTCAAACTCCTGGCTGCTTTGGCCTCCCTAAGTGCTGGGATTACAGACATGAGCCACCATGCCCGGCCTGTAAATACTTTTGTAGCCATGTCAGAAAAGTTTAAAGAAACTTGTAAAATTAATTCTAGTATATTATATACATATTTCATTAACCCAACACCTCACAAAATACTATCATTTCAACATGTAATCAATGTAAAGTTGTTAATGAAATATTTTCTTTATTTTTATTAAATCTTTGAAATCTGTTGTGTTCTTTTGCATATGCCCTCTCTATTTTTCCCCTATGTGTTCCAGTTGTACTATTATTACATTGACAGAGCACATAGCCATTACATTAAATACTCTTAAATTCTCAATCTTATTTACACCACTAGCTTCATATTTAATGCTCACCACCAGTCTTTTTGTTGATCTTTCTCTAGTCATTTTGGTTGTCTGAAGCATGTTTTCTAGATATATCTTGGTGTAGGTCATTTTGTTTCAATATTTTGGGGTATGCAGTATGAAGTTTTAAAGTGTAGTTTCAAAATTTTAAAAATACTTTAATTTGCAAGAGATTTTTTTTTAATTGTTGCTTTTAGTTTAGTATTTAGTTCCTTTGCTTTGGTTTTCTTCTTTAGGTCACTTATTATCTGTAAGAGGATTCTCTTTGCCTATATTCAAAATGTGCCACTTTCAGAACCATTTTCTTTCATTTCTTTTTGATTCTGAAATTTCTTTTTACTGCATATTTCTCTGAAGCCACTATTTCTGTGTACATTCATTTTGGTGTTTGATCTTTATTTCAAAAGCTTTTTAAAATTTCTAATTTCTTCTTGAGTTCTGTCACCTAATTTCTGAGTTTTTCTAATTTATTTCATATATTGTATCATTTTATTAATACATTTTAACTAATTTTGGAATGTATGCTGCCATTTTAATCTATATTTGAGCATATTTTTGTGGCATAATTTTATTGCCTGAAGGATGTTATTCTGCTTCATATTCTGTTAAAATTTTAGTTTAATCTTATTTGTTAAATAGACAGATAAATTTGTCTATATGTAATCATGTACAACATGAGAGTCACTACAAGACAATATGAAGCAAATTAACATATGTGGGGTAATGCATATGATAACAGTAGTGGCCCATCTGGAGCGGCTACTGCCATTATGCCAGCTGCAGTGGAAAGGTGTGGCCAGGGCTGCACATGCCACAGAGCCAGTGGGAGCCAGGGAAAAGTGGGAGCCCTGTCCCTTCCAAGTTGGTGGGGCAGGAGCTCCCAGGGGTCAGCTACAGGCCTCCCTGTGCTCTTGGGGATTCTGGGAGCAGACAGATGCCTGGCCATCCTGGACATAGCTGCAGCCTTCCAAGTTGTGGCTGCAGACCCAGGTCTCTTGCTCCACAGAGCAGGACCCCTGATCCTGGGAGCAGTGGCAGCTACCCAAACTGTGGTTGCACACCCAAGCATCGTTGCACTTTGCGGGGGCTGGGAAGGCCCCCCTTGCCCTCACAGGCTCAGAAATGCCTGCTCCCGCTGTCTGCCTTCTCCCTGCTGTCAGCACCTACTTTGATCTTGGAGCAAAGTCGGAGCTGAGCCCAGGTGCTGTCACAGCCCAGCTGGGTGTGCACATGGTCAAGGAGTGCTGACAGGACAGCCCCCTGCTGCCTTGGCCCCTTCTGGACTTTGGGTGCTGATGAGCATAGGAGGGAAGCTGATGGAGGAACTGAGGGTAGCTTGGTGCTGGCCTGCAGGCACCCCTTGGCACCTATAGCCTGGGGGCCATGAATGGCAGCAGGAGGTAGACAGGGTCCTGGCTGGAAAAGGGCAATGAGGCCCCACCTTCAGGCCATGGAGGGCCTGAAGGCTGGGGGCCAGGCTGCCAGTCCTGCAGACAGGAGTGGGAACTTGTGGTTCCTTTTCCAGGCCACCCACGGCTACCCATGGACCAATCAGCACATACTTTCTCTCCTCTGAGGCCCATAAAAGCCCTGCGCTCAGCCAGAACTAAGCAGATATCTGGATGACCAGCTGCAGAAAGGAGCTACTCATTCCAGGGCCTCCTCTCTGCTGAGAGCAGCAGACATCAGGATGACCAGCTGCAGAGAGGAGCTACCCACTCCAGGGCCTCCTCTTTGATGAGAGCTGCAGAGACAGTGGGACAACCTGTCTGCAGAGAAAAGGTACCCACTCCAAGGCTTCCTCTGAGCTATTCTGACACTCAGTAAAGCTCCTCTTTGCCTTGCTCACCCTCTGCTTGTCTGTGTACCTCATTCTTCCTGTATGCAGGACAAGAACTCAGGACCTATAGAATGGCAGGGCTGAAAGAGCTGTGACACAAGCAGGTGAAGAGGAGAGAAGAGCTGTGGCCCTTTGGTGAGCTAGACCTGGGAGCTCCCTGAGCCAGGGTTGTGACTCTCTCTTTTGGACCCTGCAGTTCCTGGAGTCTCCAAGCTTCTGGGCGTCACCACATTCCCTGGTGGCAGCTGTGGAAGCTGCTTGTGGTGTACCTGGTCTAGCCACAGCCTCACAGAGAGCTGGCACCCATGCTGGCACCTAGAGCTGCATGCCCTGCTGCAGCTGCCAGTGTGCCTGACTGTGAACAGTGGTCAAACACCATGCTCACTCACTCACACTACCCCTCACTGCTCCCTGCCTGGCTCACCCTTGGCAGGCATGGGATCCAGACTGGTAGCATGAGCCGAATGCAGCCTGCCAGGCCAAGTGGGCAGAACAAGCCCAGCAGGCCCAAACAAAACTTGGGCAAACACACCACCAGCCACAGAGGTATCCAGCCAGAAAGGTGACACCTCAAGGATCCTTCAAACATACACATTAATTTGCATCATATTATCTTATAATGACTTTCTGTAAATACAGAACTTGGTACTTTCCCCTTTCTCATAGTTAGGAATATTTAGTTTCCCTGAAATCACAGAAAAAGGCTTGGTGCAGATAGCTTTCTGAGATTTCTTGGTTTTGTTGTTCTCCCTGACTTTTATCCAAACCTTCACATTTCTTCATTTCAGGTGTCTCTGTGCTGCTCGTTTTTATTTCTCTCAGATGTTTCTTCTCAGTATGGGGACTTGTCTTTGATGGAAGCCCTAATGGGTTATTTTTGAGAGTGCATAGAGTCCAAAGTGCAAAAGACTCATGCTTAATTGTAGGCTTGTTAGTTTCACCCTCTATGGGACTGGGCAAAATTCTTCACAGTTTTATATTCTGTGTTGATTTGGCTCACTGCAGTTTCCAGTGAATCTTTGTTTGGTATTTGGGGGTTATCCTAATCTGAGGTCCCCATAAGATATCCCATTGCTTTCTCTGCTTTCTCCTCTGCAGATGCCAGTAACACATACATTGTGTGACTGTTGGTGGTTTATCCTCATCCACTTTTATTTTGAGGTTAATGGGAATATTTTGTCATTTAGTTTTGTTGCAAATGTCCATTGGTTTTGGTTTTGCCATCTGTTTTAATGTGAGGATCTTGGAAGGTGGAAAAACTATGCTGCCACCACAGCTGCCATCTTTCCATAATGCAATCCTCTGTTTTAAATCAGTTTCCAGATTATCCAAACCCCAACAAGAAGCATTTGATTGGCATCTGACTAGGCCATTTTGGGGCTCTCTGTAGGGAAGGGTAGGATGGATTTGGATTTTAGGTACAGTGTACATAGAGTCCCGCTTTTGACTCTCCATCCTCTAGGCTAGGAAAGCATGTGCAGGATTGTAGCCAGCTGATTTCCATCTCTGCTGAACACTGATTGAAACTAACCTGAACACAGGCTTGGCCTGGAAATAAACTTTAACAAGAAAGAAAGGGAAACTCAACTTCATCTAGAAAATCAGAGCTGAAATCGTGATGATGAACCTACTCTTTCTTTGACTTTGAGGGAGTCATTTATAGTCCTCCAAATGAAGAAACTTAGTTTATTTCTCCATTTCTAAAAACACTGTCTTTACTTGGCTAGAAACATTGGGGGAAAGAACAAAAGATGCATTGTTTTATAAAGCTCCTTTAAAACCAGCAAATCATTTTCACATTTATATTACTTTTGTAAAGTCTTTTCAAAATATTACATCTATGGTGTTATAAAAACCAATTGTAAATCCCCTTTGGCCTTAGAGCTATATGTCATTTTTTAGAACTATATCAGTAGGCCTTGAAGTGAAAATGAAAAAGAAAGGTTAATAATTACATTAGTGAGCACATTGATATATGGTTTAAATTAATGTCTTTTGAAAGGGCTAAAATAAAGTGGCACCATTAAGACATTTGAGGATGCTCTAACAAAGACTTTATTATACACAAAGAATAGCCTAGTTATTATTATTTTTAATGCAGTCCCCCTTCTTGATGACATTGGAAAATTTGGGCTCTTCTACTTATAGCGTGTCTGGATACCCTTGGACAACATGACTATCTTCCTTGTATGCTTCAGGTATTGTTTTGGCTGAGTGTGAAACCAAGTGACTGAAACCCCTTCTAAGATTCTACTATTTCAATAGGCAACAGTGTGAATTTTCAGAGAGTTGTATGATACTGTAGTCACCGTACTCTCCAAGTCAACTATATAAAGAATAGGGTCTAAGAATCAGTGTAATAGAAAATCTCAGGCGACCATGATTTTTACATTAATTTTTAATACTGATTTGGGAGAAGAGGCAGGGGTAGGATCGGAACACAGTGTACCTGTACCCTGGGCTAGAACTAAAACCTATGTACATGGATCAACTGGGAAATAGATAATTACTCAGAAGTTGAACGTGGAAGAATATAGTGCTTTTGAAACCAGTGAGACCATGAGGTTTAAGCTAGGTAGTATAATTGTGTTCTGTGCCATTTAAAATAAAGTCCTGAGTCCTCATGTGACATCCAAGTGTGTAGAAATATCGAGAGCAGCATTCTGCAAGGAATTTTCCTTTAAACAATGGTTCTACAAAATGCTCTCTGAAAAAGTAAATCATGCAGTTAAATAGTGGAAAACAGTGGATATTATATACTCCTTTTGAAGAGTTGACTAAATGTTAGCACATAAAAATAGCTGAAAAATATTAAAGTTAAGAAGCCTACATATCCGTCTATAATCTAGTGTTTCCCGATGATACCCACTTGCTCTCATTTTTTTTTCTTCAAAAGACTATTAAAACATTAGAGAGAACTGGATATCTGAGGAGAACCTAATATCTTTTGAATATAATGGTGTGGACTGAAAGTTTGTGGGAATAAAGTGGTCAATGGATTCGTACCCAGTCTTTAAGCAATTCTAATGATACTTAGTGCCTAAAATTGTATAATCAAGCATGAAAAGTATAATTTCCAATTATGTTAGTGGATCCAAGAAAGAACTAGAACTTCTGCTGAAAAACATGCAAAGACAAGCTAGTAAAACATAAGAAAAGAAGTTGTAGATATTGGAAATAGAATAGTGTGATGTTTTAGACTTAGAGATCTATGCAAAGAATTAATGAGTTTAGAAGAAACAGGCTAAACAAATATTGCAAACAAACAAATGTTTGATCAATATAGCTGTTCTTCATAATTCCTTCTGCCTTTGCCACATCTTTAATGAGGGCTGAACAAATCTAGTCACTTTTCTAGTCTCACTTGCAGCTATGGGTGGCCATGTAACTAAGTACTTGTTAATAATATATAGGGGGGAATAGGGAAATTTGTGAGAAACATCTTCTTATTCAGCAACAAGGAGAAATCTAACTTTTGCAAGTATTCTCAGTCCTGCATTCTTTCTTTGCATGAGTCTTGCTACCAGAAGCCTAAGGACAAAATGGTAGTAGAGTCTGTGTTCTTGAGTGGCTGAACCAATTATGAGTACTGCCTAATTATGGACTTTTATAATAAAAAGAAACTCTATTTGTTTAGTTTTTGTTGATAGAAGCCAAACACACCCAAGTTTATGTAGTAAATGTGTTCTAAAGGGCATAAATATAAGGATATTTTGTGAGCCCTACTATTCCAAAGACATGCAGTTCTCAAGTCCTAATAAGGTTATAGAGTCACCAAGTATTTATTAAGTGAGTATTATATATCTATCATCATGCTAGTACTATGAAAGAAATACAAAACTGTCCCCACCTTGTAGAAACTTACATATAAAAGGGATGACAGGATTTAAATAAATAAAATGGCTAGAGAATACCTAGGGCATAAATAGTCAAAATACATAGATGCGTGTTAAAAACTATGAATAGCATAATAATTTAGATAAGGGAGAGAACAATGATTGTCTGGATCAAAAAGACAACAAGAAAAATCGTGGTATTTTTATTCCTTTTGCACAGTGACTAGTGCATAATAGATATTCAATAAAAGTTCATAAAATTAAAATACGACTTTAACAATCTTGAAGGAAGTACAAGATATGGATGACATTTAGAAGCATGAAAACTTTCCTGTAGGGTGTATATTTGCATGCATGTGTGGAAGGATGAGTGTGGATGTGTACAAGTATGAGGTTAAAAAAATTAACAATGAGCAATGACTAGAAGAAATGACCTAGTGCATGCTCAAGAAAGTGAAAGTTTGAGCTCTGGGAGTTCCTGAACAGCAGGCAGAGCTTGTATCTGGAACAAAAAGAAAGCATTGAGAATTCTTGGGCTAACTGAATGGTACCATAAATGTAGAGGTCTAGCAAGACTAATGTGGTTGTAACATGCAGAATATATTGGCAGAGGAAAACTAGTTAACAATGAGTGCTTTTACAAGAGTGCTGACAACAGGATTGTACGATTATGAATTTATCTGGGAGATGTTATCAAAAAACACTTTCTCCTTCCTTGCCTTCTTTCCCTCTGTCATATTCTCTCTGACTCTGGTTAAATACAACCTTTCTCCTATTCCGTTCACTTAGCACTACTTGGAAATCCCTCCATATTTTCTTAGTCAATTTATACTCTCACTTTTCTAGACTACTTTACATCTTCTCTCTTCTGAATCCCCAACACCCCATCCCTCATCTTCACTTCCACTTTATCTTCACTAAGGAAATAAAAGCCAAATGAAGACAACCTTCACATGCTTCTAGAAGTCTACCATTTCTATCTTTTCTGAGCCCATATACTCTGCCTTCCATATATTCTGGTCAAGCTGGTCTCAAACTCCTCGCTTTAAGCAATACCCCCACCTCCAACTCCCAAAGAATTGGGATTATAGGCATGAGCCACTGTGCCCAGCCTTGCCCTCCCAATATTTAACTTTGCATGTATTGTCTCTTCTCCTGTTTAAATCAACACTTCCGCTCGTGCACTAGATCAGCACTAAAGTACAACCATGAACCATTGTTGGTCATGGACTAGTAAACTGTTACTAGTCTGTGATGAGACAGTACAGAAATGGAGAATAAATGTATAGAAACTTTTATAACAATTTGACAGAGTTGATTTTATGTCTGTTGGATCTTAAACTACAGGTTCTATTCCTTTTGAGGACTTCTCTCCTACAATGACTTCGTCTCTTGTAACATAAATTTTTTTAAAAATTTGTATCATTACCGTCACTACAAAAATAGGCTGTAAATCTCCCATCTTAAAATAAACTTGCTTTGATCTATCATTCTCCTTCAGTTCCTACTCTATTTCTCTTCTCTTTTTACAGCAAAACTAACAAAAAGAGTTGTCTATTCTCACTGTCTTTCACATACTTTCTTCTTATTCTCTTTGCATGATTCTGACTTTTATCTATACCATTCCAAAATACCTGACTTTGTCAAGCTCACCAGCGATCTTCACACGGCCAGATCTCATGTGTACTTCTTTATCTCAGCATTTGGCACAGGTCTTCAGTCTTCCTCCTTGAAACACTGCCTGTGTTTGCTGGGGCAGTGCTCTTTTTTTGTTTTCCTTGCCACACTGGGCACTTCTTTTCAGTCTCATTTAATGGACCATCCTTACCTTTCTCTAAATGCATCGGGTCTCAATCCTTGAAATTTTTCTAACCTACACTCATTTCATAGGTTATCTGATCTGGTTTCATAGCTTTGATGACTATCTCTATTCTACTGAAGCTCCATGTCCAACTTCTTTATTATTGCTAGATCCCATTGATAAGGTCTCTGCATTTTGAATTCCATATTCAAATACCCAATTGCCTACTCATGTTCTCTGTTTGAATATCAAATTGGCATTTCTGGACTTAAAGTGTCTAAACTATGCTTCTTAATTGTCTCCTAAAACCTTTCCTTTTACAATTTTCCCTATCTCAATAAATGGCAATCCCATCCTCCCAGTTGGTCGGATAAAGTATCTGGAGTCATCCTCATGCCTCTCATTTTCTTAAACTCTGCATCCAATTTATCAACAAATCCTATTGGCTTTACCTTCAAATCATATTTCAAGTCTCCCCATTTTCCTCTACTTCTGTTAATACAACCCTGCTCCAACTCACCCTCATTTCTCTAATGGACTTCTCTAATGACCTCCAAACTGGTATTCCTTTTTCCACTTTTGCTCTCCTGCAATCTGTTCACCACACAGCAGCAGGGTAATTTCTCTTAAAACTTAAGTCCAAACAAGTTAGTCCTCTGTTCAAAACTCTCTGCTGATACTCCTCTCACTGAGAATAAAACTTCAAATTATTACACTGGCCCCTGGCTCAACCTGATCTGGCCCCTGCTGCCTATCAGGCTCTCCCCTATTGCACTTTCTTTAGCTTACACCTATGGGGTATCTTGCTGTTCTTTGAACAGCTCAGCAGCCATTGCACTCCTGCCTCAAGGCCTTTGCATTTACTGTTTCTTCTTCTTGAAATTCTTTCTCCAGTTAAATGCATGGCTTACTCCCTCACCTCATCAGTCCTTGGCTCATTTCAATTTATGAGAAAGAGGTTTTATGACCAAGTTTTATGAAATAACACTGATCTGCCCTGCCTCACTCTCTTATCCCCAGATTCTGTGTTTTTTTTTGTTTTTTGGTGGTTTAAATTTTTTTGTAGAGATGAGGGTCTTGCTTTGCTGCCCAGGCTGGTCTCAAGCTCCTGGCCCAAGTAATCCTCCTGCCTCAGCTATATTTTTCTTTAGAGCACTTTACATCTGCTTATTAAAACATGTGTTTCTCTATTGTTTGTTTCTCCTGTTTAGAATTATGACTGATGTTCCTTTGAATTAGTTGGGTCCATGCTTGGTCCTTTTGCCAGTTGGGAAAACTCAGTATCAACCTCACATTCCTCTACTCCCTCTGTCCAGGGTGGCTGTCTATGCCACTGTACACATAACTCTCTCCCACCCACCTGCCCTCATATCCCCACTTCTCCTTAGCATCCATTACATTGGCATTCAGTTTTATAACAGAATGTGGGACTTGCAGGGCCTCTGCCAAAGCCCTGCACATCCAAAGTCATTTAGTGAAGGAATCCATTATGATCGGCACTCGCAGAGATAAATCCCCCGTGATGGAGGCAGCTCACTCACACAGAGCAGTAGCTCTCTTCCTAATGGCATTCTGCTCTGCTTGGCAGGCAACCTGATGTGCACTCTCCCCCTCTGGAAAAACAACAAATCACATAGAAACATCCAACAACAATAACAACCATAGGAATAAAAAACAAATACTCAGGACTGCCTGAAGAGAGACAAAAGAAACCTAGATTTCAGTCACAGTGATTGTTCAGGTTTTTGCCCCTCAGCATGATGGAATTGCTAGTTCAGGCACCTCAGGGCCCCTGCTCTCTTACAGTTTGGCGTGCTGGTCCTTGCAACTGGCTAACAGAGGCAGGCAGAAGCAAAGCTCTCACAGAAGCTGACGGTTTTGCACTCTCCAACACAGAAGAATCCTTTTGCACAAGGAAAGAATAATTTTATAAAACGTATTCTTCCGGTTGAAGGCACCTGAAGAACTCTTCCAAATAACTGGTATAAGAACTTCCCATTTTGGGGGGTAAGTGAATCACAGAAGATTCATCCCTTACTATTCTCTATTAGCTTTTTTGAGTCATCATTGCATTTGGGAGTAGAAAGCAGAGACCAAGAGGAAGGAAAAGATACATTTATTGAATGTAATTAGGGCTTCACTCTTTCAATGAAGAATTTTTCCATTAAACGAGTAAGGTCTTTTTAAATAACATATTCCACCAACTCATAGATTTTAAACTGTTTGTTTAAAAAGCACAGTGAAAGACAAAAAGCATGTTTAGCTAAATTATCTTTGTATAGTATATTTCATAGAATGTGGATAATTTACCCACATTGTATCAAGCTTATATTTTAAGCAAATAGGAATCCTTTGAGTAGATATAAATATAGTCAAGAACATACACCTATTTCATAACCTTCTTCCTGAAGCAAATTCATTTACGTAGTTTGATGAAGGGAAAGCTGAGAAAAATTTAATAATGGTCTTCAAAAAGATGTGAGTTTATTACAAATTAAATGTGCTTTTCTGCCACGGAGAATAGAATGAAGAAAATGGATTTCAGTGGTAGAGATTCAGGCACAAGTTGGATGAATTTTCAGAGAGTGAAGATTATTACACTTGGGGAGAGGCTTAGTAATGAAGGATGAATTGCTTTAGCAGTACAATTCTAAAAAAGTGGAAAGCCTTGAATATTTAATGAGATTCAGACTCTGAACATTTGGACAGGTCATAGAATGCTTCTGTTTTCTCTACTGCAAAATGAAGGTGGTGGTTTCTTCTAGTTTTAAGCATATACTTGTTTGGAGGCAAAGGAGTAAACTATTTGAGTGGATGAAGTTTTCCCAGGTAAAATCTTCTTTACAATGGAATCTCATAACTGCAAATACAAGTCCCCTAGATTGAACTCTGACAGAAAAGCTTCAGTGAGAACTTCTGGTTGTGTCCTCCTCTTCTTGGGGGAACAGAATTTCAGTTCCCATAGTTGTTGGTGTGACACCACAGGTAGAGTTTATTTCCCATCCTGATGACTGGGAAATGGCATGTGCACTAAGCCCCCAACAGCACTGGAGAGTTTTAGGGTGTGTGTCTTCAGTACTGTGGGAGCTGACGTTTGCATTGCTGTTTCCTAGGAGGAAACAGCAGCTTCTGCCTGCCATATGTTCATATAACACTGCATGCCAACTTGCATGCCATATCATGCCAGCCTGGAAACAAGTATGTTCACCAGTACTATATTAGCATCATCCTACTTGCAATCTAATTAATAACTAGCTGTCTTCCTGCAGCCCTTGAAGACAAATGTGAAAGCAACTTTGTCATGTTTATTAAGAATATACTTATCTTCTGGTATTTTAATATGGACAATGGAAAAGGGAAATTTCAAAATCTGTGGAGCATTGATGAATCTGAAGGAAAGGTTCAAAGGATTCTTTTTACTGTTTTGAAACTTCCTGTGAATCTGTAATTATTTCAAAATAAAATGTTTAAAAAATATGATACAAACTTAGGGATGGCCTTACATATCAATAGAATAATCAGTAGTTTATTTAACATCAATTCTGGTATTTACAAAGTTTACAATTGTAAAGTTCATATCAAATATTGGAACTCTGATTCCATTAGATCTTTTAAAGATCACTTTAGTATGAATGAAAGATTGAGGGTAAAGTTACGAGAGGTCAATGTTGACTTGCCAAGGAGGCTAATGGCTAGACATTTCTCTGCTTCATCACCCTGCCCAAAGTTATGCCGGAGAAGAGTTCTTTACTGTACTCAGATTGGGCAGTTTGTGAGTAAAGAGTCTGTGTTTCATTGCAACACAAGTAATTTTGCAATTTCAAAAGAAATACTGACTCCAAAAGAAGTGACTATGTATCTTGGACATCTTTACTTTGAAGACTCTCAATGTAGGGTCAAATGACTGCATAAGGAATCCTTTCTTCCTCTAAATTGAACTATATTCAGGAGTAATTAAGGACACTTTGTATTTTTTTTTATTATACTTTAAGTTTTAGGGTACATGTGCACATTGTGCAAGTTAGTTACATATGTATATATGTGCCATGCTGGTGCGCTGCACCCACTAACTCGTTATCTAGCATTAGGTATATCTCCCAATGCTATCCCTCCCCCCTCCCCCCACCCCACCACAGTCCCCAGAGTGTGATATTCCCCTTCCTGTGTCCATGTGATCTCATTGTTCAATTCCCACCTATGAGTGAGAATATGCGGTGTTTGGTTTTTTGTTCTTGCGATAGTGTACTGAGAATGATGATTTCCAATTTCATCCATGTCCCTACAAAGGACATGAACTCATCATTTTTTATGGCTGCATAGTATTCCATGGTGTATATGTGCCACATTTTCTTAATCCAGTCTATCATTGTTGGACATTTGGGTTGGTTCCAAGTCTTTGCTATTGTGAATAATGCCGCAATAAACATACGTGTGCATGTGTCTTTATAGCAGCATGATTTATATTCCTTTGGGTATATACCCAGTAATGGGATGGCTGGGTCAAATGGTATTTCTAGTTCTAGATCCCTGAGGAATCGCCACACTGACTTCCACCATGGTTGAACTAGTTTACAGTCCCACCAACAGTGTAAAAGTGTTCCTATTTCTCCACATCCTCTCCAGCACCTGTTGTTTCCTGACTTTTTAATGATTGCCATTCTAACTGGTGTGAGATGGTATCTCATTGTGGTTTTGATTTGCATTTCTCTGATGGCCAGTGATGATGAGCATTTTTTCATGTGTTTTTTGGCTGCATAGATGTCTTCTTTTGAGAAGTGTCTGTTCATGTCCTTCGCCCACTTTTTGATGGGGTTGTTTGTTTTTTTCTTGTAAATTTGTTTGAGTTCCTTGTAGATTCTGGATATTAGCCCTTTGTCAGATGAGTAGGTTGTGAAAATTTTCTCCCATTTTGTAGGTTGCCTGTTCACTCTGATGGTAGTTTCTTTTGCTGTGCAGAAGCTCTTTAGTTTAATTAGATCCCATTTGTCAATTTTGTCTTTTGTTGCCATTGCTTTTGGTGTTTTGGACATGAAGTCCTTGCCCATGCCTATGTCCTGAATGGTAATGCCTAGGTTTTCTTCTAGGGTTTTTATGGTTTTAGGTCTAACGTTTAAATCTTTAATCCATCTTGAATTGATTTTTGTATAAGGTGTAAGGAAGGGATCCAGTTTCAGCTTTCTCCATATGGCTAGCCAGTTTTCCCAGCACCATAGTATTAAATAGGGAATCCTTTCCCCATTTCTTGTTTTTCTCAGGTTTGTCAAAGATCAGACAGTTGTAGGTATGCGGCGTTATTTCTGAGGGCTCTGTTCTGTTCCATTGATCTATATCTCTGTTTTGGTACCAGTACCATGCTGTTTTGGTTACTGTAGCCTTGTAGTAAAGTTTGAAGTCAGGTAGTGTGATGCCTCCAGCTTTGTTCTTTTGGCTTAGGATTGACTTGGCGATGCGGGCTCTTTTTTGGTTCCATATGAACTTTAAAGTAGTTTTTTCCAATTCTGTGAAGAAAGTCATTGGTAGCTTGATGGAGATGGCATTGAATCTGTAAATGGATAAATTCCTCGACACATACACTCTCCCAAGACTAAACCAGGAAGAAGTTGAATCTCTTAATAGACCAATAACAGGAGCTGAAATTGTGGCAATAATCAATAGCTTACCAACCAAAAAGAGTCCAGGACCAGATGGATTCACCGCCGAATTCTACCAGAGGTACAAGGAGGAACTGGTACCATTCCTTCTGAAACTATTCCAATCAATAGAAAAAGAGGGAATCCTCCCTAACTCATTTTATGAGGCCAGCATCATTCTGATACCAAAGCCGGGCAGAGACACAACAAAAAAAGAGAATTTTAGACCAATATCCTTGATGAACATTGATGCAAAAATCCTCAATAAAATACTGGCAAAACGAATCCAGCAGCACATCAAAAAGCTTATCCACCATGATCAAGTGGGCTTCATCCCTGGGATGCAAGGCTGGTTCAATATATGCAAATCAACAAATGTAATCCAGCATATAAACAGAGCCAAAGACAAAAACCACATGATTATCTCAATAGATGCAGAAAAAGCCTTTGACAAAATTCAACAACCCTTCATGCTAAAAACTCTCAATAAATTAGGTATTGATGGGACATATTTCAAAATAATAAGAGCTATCTATGACAAACCCACAGCCAATATCATACTGAATGGGCAAAAACTGGAAGCATTCCCTTTGAAAACTGGCACAAGACAGGGATGCCCTCTCTCACCACTCCTATTCAACATAGTGTTGGAAGTTCTGGCCAGGGCAATTAGGCAGGAGAAGGAAATAAAGGGTATTCAATTAGGAAAAGAGGAAGTCAAATTGTCCCTGTTTGCAGATGACATGATTGTATATCTAGAAAACCCCATTGTCTCAGCCCAAAATCTCCTTAAGCTGATAAGCAACTTCAGCAAAGTCTCAGGATACAAAATCAATGTACAAAAATCACAAGCATTCTTATACACCAACAACAGACAAACAGAGAGCCAAATCATGAGTGAACTCCCATTCACAATTGCTTCAAAGAGAATAAAATACCTAGGAATCCAACTTACAAGGGATGTGAAGGACCTCTTCAAGGAGAACTACAAACCACTGCTCAAGGAAATAAAAGAGGATACAAACAAATGGAAGAACATTCCATGCTCATGGGTAGGAAGAATCAATATTGTGAAAATGGACACTTTGTATTTTTTTTGGTAAAGGAGAACATAAAAATTTGTTTCCTTGTGAACAATAAATGGTGCGATTTCTTGATAGTTTAAGAAAATCTGTGCCATTGATAAATAACTAAATTTAATTAGGGGAAATAATTCTTTTCAACTTAAAGAGTGAGCTAATATTGGTACTTTAGCACCCTAACGTTATTAAGAAGAAACTAACTCGCTGTTTCCTAATTTTGCTATAAAATTAGACCAAATTAAGAAAACAATGTTTAAGTAATGTTGAAATGTTGAATTTCTTACTAAAATATTGTACAGTAGAAATTAGGCTGTGTAAATTCATTTGGCTAATGAAGTGAAAGGGAACTCATGGTATCATGCCAGTCTTCTAAGAACCAGGTAGGGGGTGTGGTAGAGAGGCTGGCATAGAGACCTAGAATCCAGAGAGTCTATGTTCTAATGCAGTAGTCTTCTCATGATCATTAAGCGTATGTAAAGTGACTAAATGAATGCCATGAACTTGTTAATGTATATTATAACTCTTCCTGACAAACATATATATATATATGTATACACACACACACATATATATACACACACATATAGAGATATATACACACATAGAAGATACACACATACATATACAACACACACATATATTATATGTGTGTGTATATATACATATATACTATGCTATATACACAAATAAGGCTCCACAGATTTTGAACTTTCCCCTCTGTTAATAAGATAAAAGAAATGTATTTGTAAGTAATACAATAACTTCTTTAGGTTTTAAAACTCATACTTTTCCCAATAGCATCTACAGATTCATATTTGATGTTGTGAAAAGAGAATTTGTACAGTTTTCCAAACTTGTTGGAGTTCTATTAAAAGAACCAAATTTCCTGGAAGGAAGTGAGGATTTTATTCTAATTTAAACCAGACTGTCAGATATATATTTAGACCAGAAAAACTAAGTACAGTGATTTGAATTGATATCCTGTGCAGAAGCAGGGGCCTAAAATATGTAATAGCTTGTTTTATGGGCAAAACTATATAGTAAACTCTTCATTGACAATGGAATGAGACACAGATTTAGAGGAAAAGAAAAGGAGTAAGGTGCATTATAAGCCCTTAACTTTTGTCTTTTTGTTTCTTTTGATTAGAAACTACAATGATATTTAGGGTATGAATTATGATTTAGTAAAGAGGTTTTTATCTCAGGAGTTATGTCATCAGTATTATAGAGTAATGCTAAGAAATTAACAGGGGTTCATAGAAAGTAAGGTGGGGGCTATGTTCCAGTTACTAATTGTTACTTAACATTGAACATTTTTTCCGATGCTCACATTCTGTGGGTCAATAATTCAAGGACAACCTGTCTATACTGCATGATATCTAGAGCCTCTACTGGAACGGGTTGAATTGCTAGAGATGGTTGGAATGGTTGGCATTCTTGAGCGGCTGGAACAGTTGATGGGGGCTGCTATTACCACTTTTTCTCCATACAGTTCTTCTACATAGCTACTCTGGGTTTCCTGACAGCCTGGAGGCCTCAGGGTAGTAAGGGCTCTTACATGGCATTTGGCTTCCCTCAAAGAGAGAGTTCCAAAAGAGGAAAAATAGAAACTGCCAGTCCTCTTAGGAATTAGGCCCAGAACTGGCAAAGCAAGATTGTGGCATATCTTGCTGGTTCAAGCAATGAGAGGTCAGCCGAGATTCAAAGGACTCCATAGATTCCACCTTTCGATGGGGGAGTGACATACAAGTACATATATAGAAGGCAGGAATTGATGGTGGGCCCCTTGGAGATAAGCTACCACAAACCACAAGGAAATTTTTTAGTTAATATAGCTTTGTAAACACATAATATAGTTTTAAATAGATGAGGTTCCATTATTTTTAGTAGGTTAAAATCCATGCACTAAAAAATATGTCTAAATGTATAGAAAGCCAATTTCAGACATAAATTCAGGTGCAGCAGGAACACAGAAAGTTGTATTAGATTCTGAAGTTGTCTCCATGGAAAAAATAATACAGACCAAATACCTGAGTCACTTTAAACTAGTCTGGAAGAAAAATATGCAATATGGGTCAATGTTGTATCGGCAAGGAGGTACCACTGGTCTTTTTAACCCTAATATCTATAATGTGTTTTAATATTTGTCTTCTTTTGTGGTCAATAAAACTATGTGATAAAGTTTATTGAACTGTGAACATTGTCCATTTTGGGGATTGTATCCAAGCATATGACCAGGTCCCTGGGATGCTACTGAACTGCATAATCTATCACCTAATGCAATTTGTGGGTGCATTAAAGAAGTTAAGCATATTGCAGCTGTGAAACTCCTCTAAGCAGAACATGTATTCCTCTTCTTTTAAAAACGTGCAGAAATTCTTTCATCAGGCTATTTGCAAGTCCCTTGCTTCTTCATGTCAGCTGCCCTTGGCTGCAAGATAGCCATAAAACATTTACTGCAAAGCCATGAAGAATCCATATGTCCATTTGATGTGTCAGGCCACCAAGAAGCCAGAGCTTGTGGGGAAGCATAAGGATATCTGAAGGTGACACATGCTGTCAGTTGATGAACAGAGATGCAGAAGGGAATTCTGGCAGCCTCTATCTTGGCCTTGACAACTTGTGATGGTGACCAGGTGGGGTGTGTTATCTTAATAGTCTGGAGCTCTTGTGAATTATTTGCTGATAGATGTAAACAGCTGTTATTCTTGGTAATGGAAAGCAATTAGAAACATCTGTACTCTTGGCTATGAGTAATGCCTCCTATCCTCACTGCTCCCAAGTGCCAATTGGAAATAACTACATCATCGGGATGGTGTTGGCAATTCTACACTGCATTATGGGCTGATGATTACTACTGAGCTGTGAAGAACAAGAGGTGAAGTACAGGGGGGAAAGGCTTTACCTGAAATTTATGAAGCAAGAAGGAAAACTTACTGCTTTATCTGGGTAACAGAAGGCAAGCACTAGGGCTTTGGAAAAGGTACATTTGCATCAACCTCAGAACCATCCCAGTATAAAAAGTTACTTGTTCTTAAAGGGCACAATGTTAACTTATTCATTCAACAAGCCTAATACAGGGATTAAGGATTAATGCTGGACTGCTCAGATTTGCATCTTGGCCCTCCTACCTATGTGACCTTGGTCAAGTTACTTTATTCTCGCATCTTAGCTTTAGTTTCCTCTACTATAAAATGGAGAGTATAGTATCAGTATGAGAATAAAATGAATTAGTATATGAAAGGTGCTTGGAACAGTGCATGGCATGTAAAAAGTACCCAGCCAATCTTAGTTACTGTTATTATTATTGAACACATACTGTGTGTTTGGCATGACTAAGCTCTGGATATAGTCTCGAGCAGCACATTCAAGATGGCTGCTCACATAGGGATCACAACTTAGTGTAATATTCATAAAAGTATCTAATCTACAGCCAGGTATATAGCAGAAATCTAAAATAGTTTATTTACCTTTTTTCTTTTGCTTTCCAAGATAAGGTTTATGTGCTAGTTTCCCAAAGACTGGAAACTAGGACCTATGAAGCAGGCCAGATCCTACTTCAGGTCTTAGTTGTGGATGGCTTGATGGAACTATGAGTCTGTATGTAGTTCAAGATGAATAAAAATTACTCAGAAAAATTTTGTTGTTAGATCTGTTAAGTAACCATATTCTAATACTTATTTTCTCTACACAAGGAGAATACTTATTTTTCCCCTCCTACAGGATTCCTATATTTCTTCTTTCTGATGCTCATGAAGTTATCCAGTACACACACACATTGCCAAGATGAAATATAGTATTATCTATGTGCCTCATGATTTAGAGAAAATAGAGACCAAGTTCTGTCTCTGAATACAGTTGTCATGGTATATCGTTTCATGATAGGGATTGCCAAAGAAGATAAATAGTTGCCATAGGAAGAAGTGATGAAGAACTGGAAAGAATTCTGGTCATAAGAAAGGGGAAAATTGAGGCAGATTTTTTCGCCCTACTAGTTTAATATCATTTTAGAAACTATAGTCCACCAGACCTAGACCTTGTCCTGAAGTAAGGCAACATTTTCACTCACTCATTCAAAAAATGTATAATGAGTTCTTCCTTTCTGTCATATGTATAGTAGGAAAATGAACAAGAATGGGACATAGATCCTGCAAAGTTACACTGATTTTCATGTGCATTCTATCAATTTGAAATTTATATTTGATATTTATGTGAAGCAAATGGGTTATCCTGAAATCTCAGTGTGCACAGATCTAGGGCAAGGCTTTAGTTTCCTAGGGATAAGGATTATAAAACTGAGATGTGAAAACTAATGGAAAGGAAAAGTGAAAGGGCTTCAATAAAAATGTGACAATTTTCAGAGCTTGGTGAGTTATAACTTAAAAGGATATGCTGTAAGCAACATCGTAAATGCCAGTGAGTCTGGCGTGTTGTTGGATACCAACAAATGCTTGTTAATTTAAATATGTTTAAAAACCTTACAAAATAGGGGGAGGAGACCTTAACCAAACCAGTGCTTAATCACCTTGACAATACATTTGATATTTTAAAAGGACAAGATTATTTTAATGGTTTTTGTTATTGTTGCTAAAAGTTCTTACATGTCTTGCTCAATTGCTCAACATGAAGGGAATGCATGGATTCTACTATTTTATCAGCCATAGAAACTGAGGCTAGAGTACTGAATCCATTTTACAGTACTTAATAGAAATAAGAATGACTTTTGAATCTTCTGGCTCCTACTAAGAAATTTGTTTCTTTTGATCTTGTTCTTGCATTTTAAAGAGAACACATTTAAAATGCAAACGCTGCCCATAAAAGATAATAAAAGACAATGGAGACTGATAAGTCCTCAAAGACATGTCTGTGCCATCAGAAAGAAGAGACAGGTATATGATACTATAAGGTCAGCTGAAAATGAACACTGTCTACAGCCTGGAGTAATAAGTCTTACCAAGCTCTCTCTCTGCTATATCCCGAAGTTCGCCACCCTGCAGGTCAGCCCGTGAGGGCCATCCAGCTTCCATCTCCCAACACTAAGTTCACTTTGTGTCTCCCATGACAGGGAGGAAACTTAGCATTCCTTGGAGACCTGAAGACATGCAGTTAGCTTAAGAACTTTCAAGAGCTTACCAATAAGTCAGCCCTTGTTCATCCCCAAGTGGATGTGTGGTGGTATTGTGGTGGACCTTTACTGGACACTCTGCCGAATAACTGGAGTGGCACTTGTGCTTTAGTCCAATTGGCTATCCCTTTCACCCTGGCATTTCATCAACCAGAGGGAGGAAAAATAAACATCATAAAGCGAGAGAAGCCCCTTATGGGTCTTTCAACTCCCATGTCTATTTAGACGCAATTGGAGTCCCATGGGGAATACCAGATCAATTTAAAGCCCGAAATCAAATAGCTGCAGGATTTGAGTCAATATTTTGGTGGGTGACAGTTAGTAAAAATGTAGATTGGATAAACTACATCTATTACAACCAACAGCGATTTATTAACTACACTAGAGATGCCGTTAAAGGAATAGCTGAACAATTAGGGGCTACTAGCCAGATGGCTTGGGAAAATAGGATAGCCTTAGACATGATATTAGCAGAAAGAGGAGGAGTTTGCATCATGATTAAAACTCAATGTTGCACCTTCATCCCAAACAACACTGCCTCTAATGGAAGTATAACAAAGGCATTGCAAGGTCTGACTGCTCTATCCAATGAGTTAGCCAGCAACTCAAGGGTAAATGACCCCTTTACAGGATGGCTAGAAAAGTGGTTAGGTAAATGGAAAGGAATAATAGCCTCAATTCTTATTTCCCTCGCAGCCGTTATAGGTGTACTTATTCTTGTCGGGTGCTGTGTCATACCATGTATCCGTAAGTTGGTGCAGAGGCTCATAAAAATGGCACTTACTAAAACCTTCCTTAACTGTCCTCCACCTTATCCAGAGAAGCTTCTTCTTTTAGAAAATCAAGCAAAATAACTAAGCTATGTTTAAAAAGTTTGAAAAGAAAGCTGTAAGGAAATACAAGAGGAGGGGTTGTTAGATATGAATTCTAAATTTCTTTTCAAAGAATTAATATGTCATTATGTTCAATTCTTTGCCTTCTACTTTTAAACTTAACTTCCTCGTAAAGCAATCTTTTTTGATTACCTACTCCACCCTGACTCATTCTGATTACCTGCTCCACCCTGACTCATTCCAATCACCTGCTCCACCCTAACTCATTCCGATTACCTGCTACCTGCTCTGCCCTGACTCCCGCCAAAGCACTCACCCCGTCATTCTCTTTAAATTAGCCAATCGGAATTAGTTTAGCCTGTGCAGTCTAACCCTAGCCAATAGGGAAACAACACAGCAGCAGGAGCCACATGCGTCAGGGATAAGAACCCCTTCCCCTCCCTTGTCCAAGTGTGCGCTCACCATTGTTCCATCTGTAAGGGTGCACCCTTCTACATAGAAGTAACTTGCCTTGCTGAAAATTAAAAAGAAAATTAAAAAAAAAAGAAGAAGAAAATGAACACTGTCTCACCAGGTGTCCTGGAATTATTTATTTGAAAACAGCTTTGGAAAGAATTTGGCCAGAAGGAGCTTCCCTTTTCAGTACTTTCATTTCTTAGACTCCCCATGACTACCTTCCTTACAAACTTCAACCTAAACCCCATTCAATTAGCCAGTCCTAGGGATTTAAATTTTTTCTTTAACCTCTTCTTTCCTCTCCACTGCCTTATTTTTGTCCCTTGTTGTCTTCTACTTTGACTTTTGTAGTAACTCTCTAATTGAAATCTGTTACCTGATCTTGTCCCCTCAAATTCATCTTCCATGCAGTTACCAGTGACTCAGCCAATGAACGTCTCATTATGCTGTTTTCTTTCTTAAACACATCTTATTATTCCATATTGCCAAAAGAAGAAAGTACAAGTTTTCAAACATCTTGTACTAAGCCCTGAATTACCTAGTTCCTACCTCTTCAATCCTATCTCTCACTTTCCCTACTTTGAAAATTTTTCCCTAAACTGCTTATAATCGCCTTGCACTTTATTAATTCTATTATCTTTGATGACAATGACTTGTTCATATTTCTTTGCCTGAAAAACTCCTAAATAATCCTATGGATACCTCTCCAGAGTTACATCTGCCAGGAAGCCCTTCTAGACCACTCAGGGCATAATAGTGTTCTTTTCCCTGTGTTGTATTTTGGCCTTACCCTTATCATATCAAACATATCATATTACATTATATTATATCACATCTTGTTTTTAGTTTATCTGTTTGAGGTCTAGACTGTGAAATACTTGAACGCTACTATAAAATCACATCTTATTGATATGAGGATTCTCAACATCCTTTATAATACATGTCTTAGTACATTTATCCTGCTATAACAGAGTAACACAGACTTGATAATTTATAAAGAACAGAAATTTGTTTCCCACAGTTCTGAGGTCTGGGAAGTCCAAGATCAAGATGTCAGCATTTGGTGTGGGCCTTCTTGCTTCATCCTTACATGGTAAAAGACAGAAGGGCAAGATAGGGTGAACCTGCTATTGCAAGCCCTTGTTAGAGTAGCATTAATCCATTCATGAGGGTAGGGCCCTCATGACCTAAACACCTCCCAAAAGACCTAACCTCTTTACACTGTTGTATTGAGGGTTAAGTTTCTAACATATGAATTTTGGGGAACACATTTAGACCACAGCAGTAGGTACCCAATAAATATTTGTTTGATACAGATACAAATGCTGACTATTATAGTAATGTATATCATCTTTCTATGTGCCAGGCAATATACTAAGTGCTTTGCATACATTTTCTCATTTAATTCTCCTAACAAATCTAGGAGATGAGCACTATTTTATTTTCATTTAGGAAATGAGAAACTGAGGCTCAGAGAAAATATGTAACTTGCTTTAGGTTACAGCAAGTGGTGGAGTCAGGGTTATATTGCAAGTCTGACCAGCTCTTTTAAGTGCTCTGCTAAACACAACTAGAAATTTGGGATACATCAGGCAACATAGCATAAAGATCTCTGATCTTGAGGAGCTTATATTCTAGTGGAGTGACAGAAAATAAAAAGCAAACATAGTAACTAAGATAATTGTATAGAAGACTGGAAGGTGATATTGGGGATATCTCAACTCTGGGTCATTGCTTTGCTACTCTAATGACCAGTCTTGGCTTTGTGAATCCAGGGCTGGCCAGAGCCTCTGGATCCCTCTGTATGTGCCAAATAGAATATTTTGGTGAAATGACATGATTAAATGAGTTAATAAAGGTGAAAATATGTTGTAAACCTGTTTCATACCTGATTATTGCAGAACATCACTGTTTTCTAAAGTGTTAGCTGGCAAGCCTTAGAGGAGGCAACCCAGGACTCATAGATACTAAGCAATACCCCAGCCTTTCTGCCTAAATCAAATCCCTGGTGCTACTGGGGAAATGGGAGAGGATGGGGGTGCACTTGAAGAACAGAGCAGAAATAAAAGATCTGTTCAGGGAGATGTGTCTATTTCCCCTCAGATAACCAGTATGGGCAACATTCATGGATGTTTTGCCACTTTCCTCTTTGGGTGCACAAAGAAAAGTTCTGAAGATATAATAATGCTGCTCCACAAGGAGGCCACAACGGAGTCATTTTTTAAAGGACCTATAATATTTACATAAAATATACAAATTAAAATGCGAGCAAGTAATGTTAAGTGCTGAATGTCAGGTACAAATTAATAACTTCCATAAAAGTTTCCAGAAGACAATGATGATTGAAATCAGGCAGATTGTGAAGGCTTTAAAGAGGCAGTAAGGTTGTGCCTCTTTTTGAGGCACAGTTCTTCCTCCAGATACAATGTTGGTAAGACCAGGAATCACTGTGCCCTCCCGTAACTAAAGAGTGGGCATGCAGCCCGGTCCAGGTTAATTAAATGTTATTTTCCTGGGATTTGGCTCTTGAGACAAAGAGTGATGCAAGGCAGAAAAGTTGTTTATACTCACTTTTTCTGGTATTAGGACCCTGAGAATACTATCTTTTAGTTCCTATAACTTAGGTTCTACTTTGGTTGTTATCCTTTCTGAGTCTGTCGTGGTTTTTTGTTTGTTTTGTTTTGTCGTTTCTTCTTGCTCTAGCTTTTCCTTGAATTCTGATACATTTTGATACTTTTTTTTTCCTATTAAGTTTTTGAGAGTCAGTTTCTGTTTCTTGTGCCTGGAGAATCCTGACTGATATAGGGGCTTCAGGAAACTCTGTGGAGTTTGAGGACAAAGGCGGTATCTTTCATTTTTGTGTATATCCAGCAACAATGCCTGGCTCTAACACATGATTTTAATTAATATTAACAGAAATAAAATGTGTGTGCATGAACTGGACTGAGTGGAAGTGTTCATATGATGGAATGAAGAAAAGTAATATAAAGAAAGTTATAGGGACTACATTGAGGAAAGCCTTGAAAGACAGATTGAAGCCTCAATTTTGGGGGCATTGGGAAGTCTTGGAAGTTTCTGCACACAAGGTTGCAGGGTGTGGTGAGTGAGGGAGTGATATAAGAATAGTGTTTCAGGAAGGTTAACTGAACAGGCAAAGAAACAACTAACACTTATCAATGCTTTCCAGGCTCCAGTGCAAATGTTTCCTAGCAATTAACTCACCAATTCCTCACAGCTGTCTACAGCTGGGTACCATCATTATCCTATCCCCAGTTTACAGATGAGGAAGCAGAGGCACAGACTTGCCAAACAATTTACCAGTCAAACAGCAAATGGCAAACATGGGCAGTCTGAAAAGCATTTAACTATTACATTCTACTGCCTCCCTCTATAGTATGGCTATGCAGATGGAGGAAAAAAAAAAAAACATTCTCAAGGAGACAGTAAAGAATCCAACTGTAGAAATGATGTGGCATAGATAATAAATACATATCATAAAGTAAGAGTTGTCAGGACTTGGCATCACTAGATGTGGGCTGATATTGGATAAAATCAAGGCCCATTAATTACTTAGCTAGTAATTTATCCATTAATTTTATCAACATTTATTGAGTACCCACCAAATATCATGCACTGTTATATCTACTAGTGATACCACAGTGCACAAAGCAGACAAGTTCTTTGTTGTCGAGTCCATATTCTACTACAAGATAAGTGATTAATAAATAAAAAATATCAGGTAACAATAAGTGCTATGATGAAAATAAAAGAAGGCAATAGAGACTGATTAGGATCTGATTACATAGACAGTACTCAAGGAAGGCCTCTCTAAGGAATTAGCATGTACACAATGACAAATTACATCCCTATTATCTGCCACAGAGCCTATCAGGCTGTCCAAGGGAGAGAATACAGTCATGGGTTCTTAGTTTCTGTTTCTGATTAAGCCAGTAAAGCTCCTTCCTCAGAGAGACAGAAACTAAACACCATGGCTGCAGGCTTCTAAAAGCCTAAAACAAAACAAAATAGAACAACAACAACAAAATAAGGCAGGTTGGACAAGCTCTAGACCCTTTAAAAAATATTTGCTGAATGAGTGAATGAAGTGATTTGAGGAACTTGAAAAGCAAGAAATTACATTTTTCCAGGATGGGTGGGACTGTCATGAAAGAAACAAAACTTCTTTCAATGACCTGAATGATGGGAATTAACCAACCTTCTAAAGATCTAGGGACAAAGTGTCCTGGCAGGGGGACCAGCAAACACAAAGCCCCAAGAAAAGAACGAATGGCATGCTTGGCATGCTTGAAGAACACAAGTAAGGCAAATGTGTCTGGGATGTAGTGGGAAAAGAGTATAAAGAGGTGAAGGCAGAGAAGTAAACACAGCCCACATTATACAAGGTGCTGGATGACAGGCTTAGGGGTTTTAATTTGGAAGGTTTAAATAGAACAGTTACATAATATAAATTCTGTTTTTTAAAAAAGTCACTCTGGCCAACCTGTGAAAAAGGAATTATAGCATGATAGGAGTAGAAGCCAAGCACTATATTAGGAGACAATAGAAGAAGTCCAGTTTGTAGCTATTGAGATGGAGTTCATGGAAATATTTCAGAGGTGGAATTGACAAGAATGGCTGATGGGTTAGACAGCAAAGAGAGGGAAGGAAAGGTTTTCTAAATGTTTCCTAGATCAACTAGATAGATTGTGATATATTGAAAAATTTCCTAGAGCAAACAGATAGATTGTGGTGTATTGATGATTGTTTAAAAAAACAAGGAGGAAGATAAGTTTTGCAAATCTCAGAAGTTTTGTTTGAGGCATGTTAATGAGTTGCATATTAGAAATTCCAGTGGAAATGTCAAGAGGTCAATTGGATCTAAAAGCCTATTTCAGGTGAGGTTCAAGGCTAGAGAAAGAAATTTCAGATCACTGGAAATACGGAATTATTTAACTCCATGGAACTGGATGAAATTGCCTAGTAAGAGAGTGTAGACTAAAGAAGAAAAAGATCCCCAGCTACAAACTCTGAGGCTTTCCGGTATTTCAAATGTAGCAGAGAATAAGGAACCAGCAGAGGAATGGCCAGTAAGGATGGAGGAAGTAGAGTGAAGTATCTGAGAGCCAAACTCAGAGAGGCTTTTGAGGACAGAAGGGTTCACCATGGCCAACGCTGCTGAGAAGTCTCTAAATATAAGAGCAAAAGTGTTACTGTTGGATGTGGAAACATGCAAATCATTGGTGATCTCAATGTGCAATCTCAGTGGAAGGTGAGGCAGAAAGCCTACAGGAATTAGTTGAGGAGAAAATAGAAGGTAATGCAATAGAGAAGAGACTATAGACAACCTTGTCAAGAATGTTCACTGTGAAGGGTGTAGTATAAAGGGATAGTAGTGAATAAAATGTCAAGAAGTTTTTTTTTAATGAACAAACCTAAAGGTTTTTTTAATGCTAATGAAAATGATCAAATGGAGGAAGAAAAGTTAATAATGTCATAATTACGGAAGGTAACTTTTTTTTAGAAGGCTGGAAAGTGGTGGAGTGTACAGGGGAGACCTGGGCTTTGATAAGAGGACCACATCTTCTATTCTAACAGCAAGAAAGGCAGAGATTACAGGTAGTGATGCAGGTAGATTGGTATATTTTGTGTTGGTAAGATGAGGGAATTTCTGTTTGATTGCTTCTATTTTAATCAGAAAAGCAAAGGCAGAATTTCAAGTCTGGGTAACGAAGAAAATAATGGAACAAATTACGCACACCAACACAAAATCTCTAAGGGTATGTGCTAACTTCAAACATATAGAGAAGCAGAGGGCTTAGAAGAGCTGTATAGTCACTGTATGTCTGTGATAAAATGTGGTCTCAAAATCTATGCATATCATTCAAGTGGTAGAAGTTGGGGAAGGAGAGATATAATTTTGCAAAATTCCAAAAGTTTTAAAAAATATCTGTACTAGAAAATTGGTTATAGTGGTATGCTTTAATTCTTTGTGGAACCACAGAACATATAAATAAATAAATATATTTAATCCTGTTATGTTAATTGGAATTATATTTTTTCCTTACCTATCCATCCCTATTACCTGCCACAGAGCTTAGGGCTTTTAACAAATATTTGTTGAATGAATGAATGAATGAAGTGATTGAGGAACTTGGAAAACAAGAAATTACATCTTTTCAGGGTAGATGGGGCAGTACATGAAAGAAACAAAACTTTATAAATGCAATGCTTTGTCTCTAAACCCAAAAACAAAAGTCCATTTGGGAGGCAACAGCCCTAAGGCAGCAAACTCTTGAGAAATTTAGCTCAACTTTTATCCAACTCTGTAAATTACTAATCATATTAATTTGAAAGGCTCTACAGAGGTTGTGACCCTAAGTAACAATCCCATGTCCCTCTCAGGGCTATAGTGTCCCACCAAAGTCAATGCTTAACCATGGCTCTGGAGTAATGGAAGGCAATATGAATCAGTATAAAGGAGTCTCATCAACAAAATGCTTTTCTATTTACTTCTTAAATCGAATCTTGACTGTCATAGGGTATCTTCCTCTGAGGTAGAGCATAAATTTTGATATCCATGTCTATCAATCAAGTTTGATTCAAGAGTATCAGGTTGATTATTTTTAAAAAATCTACCATTAGTCATCATAGGTAACAGCCTCTAGCATAACAGATTCTAGTTATTGTTGTTTCTTGAAGAATGATTGATGTCTTAAAGAATGATTGAGGGCCGGGCGCGGTGGCTCACGCCTGTAATCCCAGCACTTTGGGAGGCCGAGGCGGGTGGATCATGAGGTCAGGAGATCGAGACCATCCTGGCTAACAAGGTGAAACCCCGTCTCTACTAAAAATACAAAAAAAATTAGCCGGGCGCGGTGGCGGGCGCCTGTAGTCCCAGCTACTCGGGAGGCTGAGGCAGGAGAATGGCGTGAACCCGGGAAGCGGAGCTTGCAGTGAGCCGAGATTGCGCCACTGCAGTCCGCAGTCCCACCTGGGCGACAGAGCGAGACTCCGTCTCAAAAAAAAAAAAAAAAAAAAAAAAAAAGAATGATTGAGGTCTTTAAGAATGTGCATACTCAGTATTAAAGTATTGGTTAGGAGGTAGGTGACTAATTTAGCACATTTTTTGAAAGAGTGTTGGTAGATTCTTTAGTGGGGTGCATTTAAAATCAATCAGATATTACACTGTAGCTTTTGCAGCATTGGACAGAACCAGTAGATGGTGGTCTTAAGTTGCAAGTTGCTTTTACGCTAACACCTGTCAGCATGTGAAACAACTACTGCTTTCAACAAAATGTTGAAATTCACCTTTCTATTTATCAGATGCCATAAATTGGATGAAGGTGGCACATGAGAGCATTTTGAAGTGACATGTTAACTGTTGTTTATTTTTCAAAAGCACTGATCTGAAAGAACACACAGACTATTCATCACAGCACTTTAAAACTATGCAGTGTTTTTATCAGAAACAGATATAAATGGCTTTGCCTATTGTTTATCTTTTCTTCAAAAATTAAAAAATTAATTTCTGATTTAGAATGCTGTCTGTTGGAAGTCTGAAAAACCAAGAGCAACTCTAAGCTGCAATACCTAAATAAGATATTCACTTAACTTTCACTATTGTTAAATGCACTTCTGAAATTCAATTGCAAGAGTATTACAATACCTTGTAATTATGCAGACTGACTAGAGTTAAAGACTTTGGAAATTAATTTTGAGTTGAAATATTAAATGAAGTAGAATGTTTTATCATAATGGCATAATTTAAAACTAACTAAAAATAGCATTAATAATAATCATGATCACTCTCCTTTCATTAAAAGAAGAGATTTAGTACTAAATTATTAAATGATCAAATTTACGGTGCCCAAGTTAGTAAAGATTTTCTAGTAGTGTAAATCATGCTACATGATTTCTGTCTCATGACTATAGCAAATTAGTCACTATAGTAAATTTTAGAGGCTGTTAATAATACAAACACTTCAATGTTGGAAGCTTTGGTAGAATGATACTGCATGCATCCTTAGGCATTCAAATATTCCATTTTTTTCTCCCAACAGTGTATTATATAACTGCCATAGGTAGTATCAAGGATGGGCAATTACACCTTGAACAAAAGGAAAGGATAAGCACTTTATTTTTATAAGCCAGTGATTTATGAGAAGTGATTTCTGCTTCCAGACATTAACCTTTGTCCTCTTTCTATTCAACAGTCTTCTGATTTTACTCTGAAATTTTACTGTCTGTATTCTAAGCAGAACATATGTTGCTCATTTTCTTTAATAATCCTCAGATCAACTAAATTTAAGAGAATTCTACGAACCCACAATGGCTGAAATGATTACTTTTAAATTTACTTAAAATCATCCTAATATACACACTTGATTTCTTAATAAATGAATAAACTGTACCAGTATACAAATTGTGACACAGTAAGCAGTCTAAAATAGAAAGCAAATATACACCAACCTCTTAATAATAAACGCTTGAGCAATGAGGATGAGGTGGGCAAATAAGGTGAAGGGATGTTTGCCTTGTGTATTCTACATGTTTCTTAAAGGAAGTGTTTATAGATGTTTCAAAGTATATGTGTGTTATAGATTTGTGTTTAATATATTTGAATGTCTCCTACTTCTTTAGTCATGAATGTAATTTTTAATATCTGAATCATATTTCAGAAAGTTATCAGATCTGAGAATCTCTAGTCACATGAGATTACAGTTGATTGAAACACATGTAAAAATGCTGTGACTCGCTCAAATAACTTTTTACATTTTTATTTCTTTTCGAGTATAATAATCACTGTCAATAAGGGATTTGTACTATAAAGAATATGTATTACGTATCTGCTAATACATAATGGAAATTTTTGAAAGTTGTGGGCAAATATTTCACCTCACCAAATTTACCATTATAGAATAACTTCTGAGACTGTTAGAATTATTTTGGACTGGGTTGTTAATTTAGGGTAAACCAGCCATTTGTTACTTTTCTTTGACATCATAACATTTTGCCCATGAGTTCTTTACCCCCATCACCCCCAAAACATTTTGGCACATGGGAATACATGTTGCTACAAAAAAATTCTCATGAAAAATATGGATTAAAGATGGTATGGTACAAAACCAAAGTAGCGCACTCTCCTTCACAAGGCTGTGAGGTGTCATTAACAAGAGGCTAGTTATTAATAGTCACACATTCTTGGTCATTTATTTAGCATGTTTATAGCACTTTACAAAGTGCTATGTTAGTGAATTCAATATAATTGCTATATTTATAACCTCAAACTCACTGTAGTTTGAGATAATTGTGTGTGTGTATTTTTGTAACGTATTAATTCCACAGCTGGGATATTCAGTGGAGAACCACATATGTCATATTAGGACATTTAATTAGACTCAGGAGTCAAACAGACATCTGAAAACATCTATGGACTCATTAGTATAGTTCCAGTAGCTCCTTTGGCTTTGACATAACTCAGGAAATAGGAAATCATAACATCATAAATAGTGTTCATCTGAACCTTTCGGGGTAGCCAGAGCAATTTTAAGCCAATCATTTCTCACTAGGCTAATACTTGTCAAGTCTCTTATTCAGGTAAGTTTTTTTTTTCTTTTTTATTCTTTTGGATATTCAGTGGCCAATGAGGTGTAATAAGTTTTAGCAAATTGAGGCTGAGGTCTCTTAGGTTAGCTTTATTATTTGCTGTAAATTACATCAGCTTTATAACTGCTTAACACAGCTCTTGAATCAAGAAATATCACACCTGAATTTTTCTGTTCAGGCTGAATGACTGGCATGTGTGTGTGTCTGTGTGTGAGTGAGAGAAAGAGGGAGAGAGAGAGAGAGAGAGAGCACCCCTGGAATTCAGGATTAAAACTGCTGCTTTCAGATTGTCAAACTGATTTATATTTTAACTGTTGGATAGCTGAAGTGACAACTAAATAGGATCTTAACAGACTAGCATTTTCCCACATTTTTTTCTCTTTGCAGATTATAATTTGGTAAATTGTTATATATTTTAATTGCACTCTGTATTCCATCTTTGGTTGACATTGAGTTGAACTTTGGATTTTGGATTTTATTTTATATGTCAGGCTCAAAACAATGAGGTGTGACTTGAGTGACTTGCTTCTCATAATCTCACATCTGTTATTTTAAACACAAGAAAGCCAGGCTCCACTATGAGAAGGCCCCTCACTTGCTAAGTAGCAGGCTTACAGAAGGAGACACTCTCAGCAGAGGGAACTGGTGCAGAAGATTCTCTTTCTTCTCTTAGTAGCTTTCGATAGGTCAGCAAATCAGAATTGTTTGCTGTTTTCCTTCTTTCCCCACTGACACCTCATTACAGAATGGGGTGTTTTTTCCCCCAGTCTGTATTAGCAGAAACAGAAAAGTAATTAATACATAAAGTACCAAATATGAAATATTACTCTGCACAGACGCATTTCACACTTCATTGATTTCATGAGTAGGCCAGAGGTGCCAGAACAATAATTAATATGTTGTAAGAAAAAAAACATTATGCAAGGTCAGCAGCATTTGAAGACTTTACAAGGAAGAGGCATTAAAAGATATGCTGCAACTATTTCTTAAATACAGCTTTAAATTGGGATTTAAATGAATATTTGAAGAAATACACAGATTTACTATGAGAACTTGGTAGGAATTTTTCATCTGTTAGTATGCTTGTGTATGCAAACATAGTATGTACCAATATACTGGCATTTTAGAGAAAATATGAATAAATACGTGTGGATAAATTTGTGTGTGGATTTATGCTTGGCTTTATAGATATCATTATTTACATTTCTGAATTTTCAATGAAATAGCAAAATTTAAAACTCAAGTAAATTTATTTTATATTATTTAAAAATTACTAAACAATACATGTTTGTTCAAAAAATCATTTAAATTTCAGAAAATCAAGAACAGAAACCTTAAAGTCATTCATAATCCTACCATGCTGATATAAGATGTTAATATTTTGGTGTATATCCTCTGAAGACTTTTCCTCTGTGAAAAACAGGATGCTGTAATATTGTCTTCAGTATACTTTTTCACTTATTAAATGATTATTCTTTATGTCATTCAATATTTTTCTACAATATTTTTGATGGCTACATAACATTCCACTGGTATGATGTATCATTATATATTTAAACAATCTTCTGTCAAGGGACATACAAATGGTTTTTAATTTTTTAAAAATTGCAGTGAATATCACTAGAGCTATATCTTCATAATGCCCTTTGGCACATCCCTAGAAATGAAATTCTGATGGCTTTGACAGACATTGCCAAGTTGTCCTCCAGAAAGGTGTCTCAGTTTATTCCCAACACAATGTGGATTTCAAATTCCCTCTCAGTTGTGATTATAAAGCTCTTCTTTCTAATCTGCCTTCTACATGACTCTGATATCATGTCATAAGTAATGGATTTTTCAGGATAAATGGAAGGCAATTGAGAGAAAAATCTCAAAACAATTTCAAAAGCAAAATATTTGCAGTGATTGTCTTAAGGCCAAAGTTAGCAAATTCATTTAACATCATACATTTATCCCAAATTGAAAACTACGAATAGCCATTATTTACTAAGTGCTTACCATGCAGCAGTGATAACTTTGCAATAGTTCTATGTGCTTTACATCAATTATCTCGTTTTTTTATCCTCACAAAATTACCCTGTGGAATATGTTTTTGATGTTCCTTGTGAAGAAAAAGCCAGAACTCAGACAATTTATAAATAAATTGCTCAGTCACACAGCTAGTTGGTGGGAAGCTGGGATTTGAATTCAGAACAGTATGATTCAAAAGATTATATTTCAGCTACTAGAAGGATCATAAATTTGTAGTTCTGAAAATGTTTTACCTCAAAATAGTACACAGTATAGCTCATTTGTAGATTTGCAACAGCAACATTTTACCTCAATTTATTGTCATTTGGTATTACGATTGAAGATATCTGCTTGGATAAACTTTGGATTTTTACCACCTGGACCTGTGATAATAAACAGTAGGTCTCTCATTTCTCAAACACAAGGTGTTAGGAAGGCTGCTGCTGGGTTGGCAGAGGAGGTTCTCAGCCGTTCTCAGTGCATATGGCTCTTTGGGGTAGAAAGCGACCACCAGGCCCTCTCTTTTGCTCTCCTTTTCTCACAAATTGTAGTCCATATGATAGATATTCTGACTTTCTTGTTTACTTCCTTTTTGAAGGTGAGTTTGAGGTGATATAAAGAAGCAAAGGGCCAGGAAACTGACAGCAGAGAACGCTGGGTCTCTCCAGGAAGGTTTCCTTGGTCCCAAGATTTTATGTCCAAAATTGAACCAGGAGCCTCTCTAGTGGGATGTTTCTCTGGTTGACACAGTTGTGGGAGGGTTAGGATGGGGAGATGGGAGGAAGATACGGCATAGATAATATTCAATCCCAAATGTAATGGAACTCAGAACAGAAAAAGGAAAATGGTGTGCTCTATCCCAGATATGAAGCTCAACAAAGTAACATCATTAGGGCCAGAAATTGTCCTGTTGTGGCATTCCAAAAGCATATGAGCCTCTGTCCTACTCATTATGAATCTTTATCCTTTCCTCTCCCTCTGCTCTCTCTCTCATCAGCAGGCTAAAGAGAGGATACATCTCTCGCTTAAGCTTGGGGCTTTTTGGCACGAAGCTTGATTGTCTCGGTTTCTTCTTGGCAGATTTAAATTGTTAGAGAAATGAAACTCGTTTGAAAACAGTAGGCCCTGGCAGGCACTCTCCCAGGCATTGCCCAGGACTCCAGGAACAGTTGTCAACTTGCTGCATGGCATTTGTCTAGGTTGGGTTTGATCTTAGTCTCAGATCCCATATGGTAAGAAATAATTCTGTTTTAAAGTTTTGTGTATGATTGAGGTCAGAAGAGGGAGAGAACTTGCTGCATATGGAGTCTGCAGATTTTTTATACTGAAATTAAGATTTAATAAAGATGGAGTAAGAACAAAAATTATTTGCATGAAAATGAGACAAAACTGAAAAGGGTATTTTTCTTTTCTCTGAATGTAAATCTCTATTTGACTATTAAATTCCTTAATTTTAAGATATTTCTATCATTGTGGAAGTACAAGAATACTGACAACTAATATGTATGTACAATATGGTATGTTAGAAATTAAAAGCACATTCACATATATATATTACTGAGTTTGAAAAAAACAGTTTTACTACAAATGGGGAAACAAAATAAAATAGTACCATTTCTAGTAGTATTAGTTCTTATATAATTTATTATCCAAGTTTTTGGTTTATTTTAAAAGAGCGTGTACAGCACCATATAAAGAATCTGGGCCAGGTGCAGTGGTTTACGCCTATAATCCCAGGACTTTGGGAGGCTGAGACCAGAGGATTGCTTAAGACCAGGAGTTGGGGACCAGCCTGGGCAACATATTGAGATCCTGTCTCTACAAAAAAACGAAAAAATCAGCTGGGCATGGTGGTGTGTAACTGTAGTCTCAGCTACTAGGGGGTCTGAGGCAGGAGGATCACTTCAGCCCAAGAGATCGAGGCTGAAGTGAACTATGATGGTGCCTGTCTACTCCAGCGTGAGCAAAAGAGTGAGACCCTGTCTCAAAATTAAAAATAAAAAAGAATTGGGCCGGGCCTGGTGGCTCACCTGAGGTTAGGTGTTCGAGACCAGCCTGACCAACATAGAGAAACCCTGTCTCTACTAAAAATACAAAATCAGCTGGGCGTGGTGGTGCATGCCTGTAATCCCAGCTACTCGGGTGGCTGAGGCAGGAGAATCGCTTGAACCTGGAAGACAGAGGTTGCGGTGAGCCAAGATCACCCCAATGCACTCCTGGGCAGCAAAAGTGAAACTCCGTCTCAAAAAAGAAACAAACAAATAAATAAATGTAAAATAAAAAAAAATCTAGTAGGCAATAATATGCTTAGAGGTTCTGATGAAACATGTTATATAGTATTTTCAAGTTTTTCTTTAGACTTCCAATAGGACATAGTAATAGTAAATAATTGAAATTAAAATGCTTCCCCAAAATTTGAGATGTGGGTAGATAAGCATAAATTTTTGAATCAATTTCTAGTTAAATCCATACTGTAATTTGATTGTGCAATTACAAATTTCATCTTCTTTTCTCCATCTCTATACCACTATTTGGAGAGAGAGATGGCTACTTAACAGCTGGAACTGTGAAAACAGAATAAATTTCAGAGCATCTAAATGTGTGTGCCGCTCCAATAAATATTTTAGACATCAGAAACAGTTGATGTTGTCAACCCCTAAGTGTCAGGTCTACTTCCTCTGTTTATTTTTCCCCTACCACCCACTACTGTTTCTCTTTGACACACAGCCTCTTCTTATTGCAGAATCTCAGAGGAGCAAACACTAGGCCCTTTTCACAGAATCAGTTTAATATAGACTAGTATGAATGATGATTCATACTATTCAAAGAACTATTAATGAAAACTTTCTATATCTGGTGGTTCATGGGTTAAACTCAGTTGTCACCCGACATCTCCAAACTGATTTTTGACCTGGATTTGTTCCTTACATATATGACCATCTCCTTCCATTAACTCAGGTTAAGCAGAAGCTAAAACAGAATAGAGTAAACCAGGGGTAGAGGACCAATCTGATTAAATCTAACAATTTGTACATCTGTGCCTGACTTTCATCACTTCTTATGATTGCGTATAAAGTACCTGCTGTTGAATGAGGGATTAAGCCCATTCCAATTATTGATGCTTTTTAACTTTACAGATGTCAAAGGCATTCCTTCAAACCTGTTCATTTCCAGAGCAAGGCTTTTCCAGATGGGAATTAGAAAGCAAGATTTGACAAAATCTGCTTCTCTGTTACTCAGTACAAAGGAATATTACAGTAACGCTCCCATTTCTGTTAATCCATTCATTTCAGGTTTGATTTACCTTTTTTGCTTTGATCTAAAAATCTCTGTGGCTTTATAGGATTATATGTTGCTATATTCAGGTTTTGAATGAATCACACTGTATGCATTTTAATATGATTTCTCTGACTCCAAAGCCAGGATTAACCTGTTGTTTTTGATTAAAAAGATGCTATGTCTAGATTTCAGAGGAGTGTTAGATTTCTCTGCTTATCTACTGTTTTTCTTCTTTTTAAATAGACAAAAGAAATTATATTTGTTGTCTATATTGATGAAATAAAGAAAAAAAGTATAGTTTTTTAAAGAATTTAAATATTAACACTCAATATAAACTGTTGTATAAATAAGAGTGAAAGTTTTTTTTAACACTGTGTTTTGCATGCCCTCTGTTGACTTCTTGCTAAATCGTGATTACTAAAGTAGACCTCATTTAAACCACAGGAAAGAAAAACTTTGGTGACTGGTCATGTCATAGAAATTAGATATTTTTTAAAAATGGTTACCTTAGTGTTTAAAAACAAAGGGAAAGACTCTGATCTTCCCTCATTCGGTGCTGCCAACTTTTCTTGACTCTTCTAAAATTGTATGTGAAGCAAAAAGTTACAGTAGAGAATCCCAATAATATTCTAAAGAATAACAATATAGTAATGGCAAAATCTTAGAGATGCTTAAAATGGACAGACACTGCTCTAAAAACTTTACCTATATCAAGTCAATTAATTTTCCCAAAGCATTTGGAAGTTGATCCCATTATTTTAATTATACAGATAAGGAAAATGAAGACAGAAGTGAAGAAATTATTCAAGCTTATATGGCAGAAGCATGGTTCAAACTTGGCAAATTTGGTTCAAGTCCATGTTCTTAACCACTATGCTAGTTATGTTTACATGGTCAACCCAGAAAATATATAAAATGAATTAAACTCAATCTAATGAGAATATGGTAATGAACAAGTGAGAAATCGAATGACCAACTGGTCCATTTTTCTCTCCTCCACAAACTTCCTTTTTAAAAGTATGGTATGGTTTAAATGTGTCCCCCAAAATTCATGTGTTGAAAACTAAATTCCCAGTGCAACAGTGTTAAGAGGTGGGATCTTTAAGAGAGGATTAGATCAAGACATCTCTGCCCTCCTGAATGGATTAATGCCATTATCTCAGGAATGGATTAGTTATCTCAGGAGTGGTGTCCTGATAAAATGATGAGTTGGACCCTTTGTCCCCATTGCTCTCAAACCCTCTCTTACCTTCTCACCTTCATGGGATGATGCAGCAAGAAGGCCCTTGCCAGATGTCACCACCTTGATATTGAACTTCCTGGCCTCCATTAAGTGTAAATCACTCAGTCTGTGGCATTCTGTTGTAATAGGACAAAATGGACTAAGACAAAGTAGAAATTCCAGATATGGGTTCCATAGTACATCAATGCTGAGCCCATTTCTAAATTTTAAGCACAGCTCATCTGCCAAGTTGCTAAGGTTTTAGCCTATGACTCATAAGCCCTTTGGACTCATTACCACATCGTCTCCCTTTGAACTTACCCTACAATCAAGGAACAGAAATACAGGGTAAAGAAGAATCTAGCTGCGAAAACTAGATTCAAACAATTAACCAATGTTTGTGGAGGGCACATACTGATTTTCCTACATCAGTGATTGGGAAAGAAATTGAAGTTTATATACACATTGCTAAATAAGAATAGAGACAATGCACATCCGAATCAAATTTTGGCAATCATAAAAGGCAATGTTTATGAACATGTCTAAATGCAAATTAGAAACAAATCATTGTTTATTAAAATCAGTTTCATTTAATCTTTGATATTTCTAATATTTGCTAGGAAAGATTCCTGTCTTTTATTTCTATCTGGTGGCTTTGTTCAAATCACTCTCTAAGGTTCTTTTATCCAGTTTATTATAAATAAATTAAACATTACTCTGTATCCTCGAGGAAAGAGGATTTTAAATTTAAATATCTATAAGCATTTCTATGTATCTGAAAGTAGACATGATGCTAAAAATGAAAAATGATCCATAGTTTTCTAATAATATACAATTTGTATACTCTTACTTATATTTTCAACTAGATTCTGAACTCTTGAAGGAAAAACCTTCTTATTGCCTATTTTTGTATAATTTACGCCTATAGTTCATCCCCATTCCCTCATCCCATACTATAGTGATTTCAGTGATATGGATATAGTAGGTGTTTAATAAATATTTGCTGTGTGAATAAATTGCTTTCCATTACTGAAGCTACTTTGAGAATTATTTTTGAAACAATAAAGAGTCTCAGAAAGAATATAGTAGACAAGGTTTGAAACAGGGTTTGCATGTAAATTAAGCATCTTTCTTCAGGTCTCTGATTTTGACATAATCCAAATACTGCTTCACTGTAAAGCAAAGAGGCATGTTAGTGCATCTTATTCTGTCTTAGGGAGTCAAAAGGTGCAATGCAATAGAAGAGGTGATGTTGGAACTTGCTTTTTGGCTGCATGCTTTGCCTTTCAAGCACTGACTGAGCTGCAGCATAAGGTGTGAAATTAGGACAAATGTTCCAAGTCCTAGAAAATGAGTGTTTTATTTAACTCCATCTTGCTCAGGAAATCTGTTTCAGGATTACAGGCTTTCAGAAAAGATTGTTGACTAAGGGATATTTAGGTTGATAAATAGAAACAAAAAAACTGCATGATCTTTGACAACAAAACTAAAATAAATGCTGACACACAAAAGCAACTTTGATAATGCTACTCACAATAGTACTCCAGAGTTTACTTTTAGACACATAAGGAAGGACCTGTAGATAAACTTAAACTCTCAGGAGTTGGTTTATCCCCCCAAACCGTAATATCCCCTGTGCTAAACACTGGGAAATTGTATTACTTTAAAAAAGCAGGAAAGAAAATGTTCAAAATGCTAGACATTAAATGGGTAGTATAAATAATCTTCAATTGCAAAAACTCTTTGCTGTTCAATTTAAAAAGACAGCTTAGAAAAACTAGTCAAGGATAAAGTATCATGCTTCTCATAGTATTTTCTATCTCCATCATTGATAAAGTAATGCAGAACAGATTGAGTTATTATAACCATGAACTTCTTATTTATTTAATATAAAATATACAATTTGTTCTTCTGTTCTGAGAGTTCTATTCCTCTGAGAAGTAACATGTCTTTAAAGTATTAGATTAGGTGAAGCCTGTCTAGTTGTTTATATTCATTCTTGAGCTAAGCTAATATTAATAAATGGATTCTTACCACTTTTAAAAGATATCCCTTTTCTTTTATTTTGCTATTTGAAATGTCTTACTTTCACTAAACCAAATTCTTCCTTCTGAAATTACTTCATTCTGTGTAATTCTGTGTGGAAGTGGAAGTAGAAGTAGCAAATATATACTGAATCCTGTATTATATGACAGAAAATCTTTTGCCTTACATTGACCTAGTTAATCTTCATCATAACAGTTTGAGGAATGTTACTAATTATCCCCTTTTTACACATGAGGAAATTAAGGCACAAAGAAGGTAAGCAACTTGTCCAGAGTTACACAGCTTAAAACTATGAAGCCAAGCTTCAACTTCTGGAAGTCATCCTTTTAACCAATAAGCCATTCTTGACAGAGGACACCATTTTGTTCATCTTTGTATTCCTACACCTTACCCAGTGCCTAGAACTTATTAGGCACTTATAGAACATTTATAAAACAGAGCGCTTATTAAGCTTTAGAATGTACCTCCCTTTATTTCTTTTCTTACCTCTGCAGCCAGATTCACACCTTGGCCTTCCTTATCTGGGAAAGAGCTCCTCATTAATTTCAGCATTCAATCTTCAATTGATACTCAGTTTCAAGTACAGTTTTGACCTTCTCATTTAATTCCCTTGCTCAAAAATTGACCATGGACCCCATTACCTCTGAACTCTTGTGTCTGGCATTGAAGGCTCTCTTTTCTTTGTCCTAGCCTATGTTAGTTCTTGTCTCCCAGAAGCCAGTATGCCAAATTCTACTACTCAGTGTTGTCATAGAATGCCCTATGATTTAACATTTATCCCCACCCATAGACCACTGAATGTTTTTCCTTTGTTGTTATGTGCTCCTGAATTCTCACTCCCATCTAATCCCCATTTATGATTAAGGCTATTGATTCTTCAATGCTTAAATTAATGGCAGCGGCAGACCATCCAGAGCAGCTGCTGTCATCAGGGAGGCACAGGCAGTGACAGCAGGAGCGGCTGTGGGAGCATCATCAATGGCAGCAGTGGGTCCCCTGTGCCTTCTGTCCCTGAGCAGCAGACTGCACTGCTCCCACCCTCCTGAGGCCAGGCAGGACCTGCTCCCAGGTCCAGAGCCTCTGCTGCTCTGCATCCTGGCCATGCAGTTGCCGCTGTCGCCTGCCACCGTTGTGGGGAGGGTGTGGGGAGGAGGCAGAACTGGCCCCGGAGTGGTGCTGCACTCCACAGAGCTGGCAGGAACTAGGGACAAGCGAGAGCCTCCGTGGAGCCCACTGCCCTGGGGGCTACTGTGATGGAGCCAGGCTGAGCCACCCACTGGATGGGGAGCAGTGTGGTCAGGCACAGAGGAGTGGACAGAGAGGGCCTCAGCGAGGACCTGGAGCCCCGGCCCCAGATTGTGAGGAGGTGCAGCTGGGGCTGCCACACACTCCATGGAGTGGGCGAGAGCTCCGCCCTCCCAAACGTAGGGCCTGGGCATCTCTGCACTTTGCACCCTCAGGAGCCCAGGAAGGCCCCCCTGTCCCCTCAGGCTGGGCAGTGTCTGCTCCCACTGACTTGCCTCTTCCCATTCCTGGTGCCTGCTCCAATCTCAGAGCAGGGTTGGGGCCAAGCCCAGGTGCTGTCACAGCCCATCCAGGTGTGCACTCACTCGGGGTATTGCTGACATGCCAGCCCCCTCATGCCTCAGCCCCCTCCAGACTTTGGGTGCCAATAAGCACGTGGTGGGGGGAGTTGAAGGGGGACTGAGGGCAGCTCGGCGCTGGCCTGCAGGTGCCCCTTGGTGCAAGCAGCCTGGGTGCCATGGACAGCAGCAGGAGGCAGACAGGCTTCTGTGTGGAAGGGGGTGGGTCCCTGTTGAGGCCCCACCTTCAGGCTAGGGAGGGCCTGAAGGCTGGGGGGCAGGCTGCCAGTCCTGCAGACCATAGTGGGAATTTGTGGTGCCTTTTCTGGGCCCACCAATGGCTGCCCATGGACCAATCAGCATGTACTTCCTCCCCACTGAGGCTGATAAAAGCCCAGGGCTCAGCCAGAGCAGAGCAGATGATGGGAAGAGCAGCTGCAGAGAGGAGCTACGTTTTCTGCTGGGAGCTGAACACTTGTTGGGACTACCTGCCTGAAGAGAGGTTCTATCCTCTCTGCTAGGAGCTGAACACTCATCTGGACACCCTGGCTGCAGAAAGGAGCTGCCCCCTGCAGGTCTCCCCTGAGCTGTTCTATTGCCCAATAACGCTCCTCTTCGTCTTGCTCACCCTTCACTTGTCTGCATATCTCATTCTTCCTGGTCACATGACAAGAAGTCGGGACCCACTGAATGGTGAGGCTAAAAGAGCAGTAACACGAACAGGCCTGAAACATGTCCCTTGCTTGCCAGGTTGCGGGAGAAGAAAAGGAGAGAAGAGTTGTGGCCCTTTGGGGATCCCAGACCTAGGAGTTCCCCAAGCCAGGGCTGTGACTCCCTCTTTGGGATCCTGTGGTTCCTGGCATCTCCAAGATTCCAGGTGCCACCACATTCCTTAGTGCCAGCTGTGGAAGCTGCTTATGGTGCCCCTGGTCTGGCTGTAGCCTTGCAGAGAGCCAGCCCCAGTGCCAGCACCTGGAGTTCCCACCCCACTGCAGCAGTTGGTGTGTCTGACTGTGCACAGTGGCCAGACCCCACACTCACTCACACACCCCTCACTGTTCCATGCCTGACTCGCCCTTGGCAGGCATGGATACACGCCCTTGGCAAGCATGAGACCCAGACCAGTGGTATGAGCCGAGTGCAGCCTACTGGCCAAGTGGGCGAAATGAGCCCAGTGGGCCCAAGCAAAACTGCCAAAGGTGTCATCGGCCACAGAGGTTTCCAGCCAGGAAATGGACATCCCGAAGATCCCATAACAAAATCAAATGTTAACAGTTTAATAACATGTTCTCCACTGATTTTACTTGACTATATTTTATTTCTCTTTGGATTCAAGTAATAGTTGATTACATTTTGCTTTATGTTAAATGCCTTTGTCTTTTTCTACTTGTTAGGTTATAAACATCTTGAGAGCAAGGACTAAATCTTACTTATCTTTATTAAGAACTAACAGTGGAACACACAGAAAATCCATGGATATACTGTCAGACTGTCACCAAATATACATTCAACATTTTTCTTACTTGTGAGACTGATTTTGAGAAAATTTGCTATCACAGAATCACTAAACTTTAGAGCAGGTAAAGACTCCTGCAATGATTTTATTTACTTGCTATATTTTACCAATAAGAAAACCGAGGCATAGAGAAGTTGAGACTTTCTACACACCAGTGCCTAGTCTTCATGATGCTTATGCCCAACCCTGAGTCCTTTCCTCTATATAATCCTGCCTCATTACATTTCTGAAAGACGGAGAAGTTTTATAACAACAAGATGAAAGACTTTGGAAGTTTACAGAGGCTATCAGGCTATCTTCTCATAGACCCATCATTTGTCCAGCAGAAAGAGACTAAAAAGGCTTATAAGAATATCAAGACCCCAATGTTGTACTTATGGTTTGACTTTATATCTCTGACTAATTACAGAATTTGATTATTAAAAAAGGTTTTTTATATCAAATCTTGGTTTATACTTTAAATTTTTTTGGTATTTATTATATATCAGTTGACACTTCCTCCTCTCCACCCCAAACAAACAAAAACCCCAAAATAAAAACTGTTGGATAGAGCTGTTATCTATCCATAAGCATTGTTAAGCATTGTTTCCTCATTTTATGGATAAAGAATCTCAAAGGAAGCAACTTTGTCAATATTAGGATTGTGACCTTAACCTGGAGAGTAGCCAGGAGGAATCTGTTCTCATATTGCAGATACCAGGACATTCTGCTTCCTCAAGAGATGGTAACTCTAACATCTTGATGTGACTCTACAATATCTAAGGAATGATTTTGTTAGCAATGGAGACTGCGAGTGACAGGTGCTAGTTAAGTCTGAACCAGCCACCACTGCCAATGAGCTCTGGCCTGGTTCAGCTTGGTTTCCCCATTCGCTTTCAGGTGATGGAAATGTCATGCTTTAACATGCCCAGTTATAATACTAGTGGCAATCTGTTGTACCTTCCCAAAGAGACATTCATGCTTATAGGGGCAAGTATTCACAGGCACTGAAAAAGTAGAACTATCTTGAGAATTTGTAAAAATAACATTGAGAACTGCTTCATTCACTGGATGTAGGCAATGATTTTCCTAAGGTGTTAGGCAAAATGCATGCCATTTGTATGTGGGAAGAAAGAATGGCAACAGAGGGAACATTACAATGAAATTTGGTTTTATACCTTGCCATATACCTTAACATGTTTCATCTCAAAGCACATTTTGTTGCCTATTTCAAGTTAAAGTCCCAACTTCTGACATTGATCTTTGATGTGCCCCCACAATATGGCCCCCCTACCCTGCACTTCTATTGCTTCTTCCCTTCATATCTTACCTGCCTTAGTCAACACAAACTACTCATTATGCTTACAACATGCCGATTCAGCAAAATTCAAAGAAACAAACATTTGATAAATGTCCACCATATGTTTGGAATTTTGCTAAGAACTATACAGGGCAGGAAGAGAAAGCATTTCTTCTATCCTTAAGTAATTGGAAATCTAATGGGAAAGACAAGCAAGTACATAAATTAATCTGATATGAAGTAGAGTGAGCGGTAGGGAGGGCAAAAATGTTGAAAAGTAAATTGGGTTATATGAGGACATCAAAAGAGGTTATTTAAGTGTGTGTGTGTTTTTAATGCATTGGGATCCTCTAAAAGGTTTTGAATAGGGAAAGAATGAGCAGAACATGAGGTGGACATTAGAAAGGATAAGCTAGAGAGACGGATATTAAAATTAGAGAAGCCATATTTTAAGAAGGTTGTAATAGCAGTTCGTGTCAGGTATGATAAGGGCCTGAAAGGTAATCACTGATAGTAGAAGTGAGATGAAAGGGATGCACTCCATGACTTTGCAGTAAGAATGTCCTTATATTACAGTGGTTAAGCATGTGAGTTCCAGAGTCACACACAGGTTTGCATCATGTCTCTGCCATTTATTAGCTATGTCACCTTAAATGAATTAGCAAACTGATCTATGCATCAGAATCCATGTATCTAAAGTGCAGATTATCTTGGCACTCAAGTCAAAAGTGTGTTCTTAGTTCACATGGAATAATCTTTATAAAATGCCTGCCACAGAGTAAGTACCGAATAAACATTTCATATTATTGTGGAGAAGTTTTAAGACAGATGGTTGAAGAATTTGATCAGAATATCCTCCCCTCCAAGTTTATTTTTCTTTCCACTTGCTTCTCTACCTTGTTGAAATCTGCCCATCTCTATTGCACTCCACTATGAAGAGTTCCTTGAATAGTCCTGTGCACAATGATCTTTCCTACCTGTGTTTTTAAAATATTGATCATCTATACTAATCAAGAGACACTTAGCATTTACCTCATGCTGTTAAATATATTTCTTTGATACAATTTTTTGATGAATAATATGTCAATTCCTGTTTATCAGCATTAAATAAATTGTAATGCAGATTAACCAGAGGAAGTGATTTTACTTCGGGCTCATTTCTTGGTGATAGAATCCACTTCTAGCTCCTCAGTTCAAGGTCTTTAAGAAGAAAATACAATAAGTTAAAAATACTTCTGTACATGGTGGTGATAAAAGCTGGGCACCCATGGAAAAGCAGAAGAGCTCCAGCATGGGGACCAGCAAGCACAAGGGCTCTAGCTATACGAGGGACCAAGTGTGGAGGAGCCAAATCCATTTTATAATAGCTCACAAAAAATACTTGAATTTAATTTAACTTTGCAGGGCAAAGTTACCCTTTACAACAATAGCTAATTTTATCTTACAATTTATTGTATTCTAAAAGAGGTTTAACATTATTTTGTCTGGAATGGAAGGCAGTCAGCCTTACTTTAAGGAATCTTCTATTTCTTTTAAAAATGATGGATGCTAAAATGCTTCCATAGCAGAACTAGAGAAAAATAAAAGACTGGCCAAACTAATTTCCTCTTATTCTATTTAGTTGGTTTATTTGGCCCTGCATTAGTAGAAATACATAAATAATTTTAAGAAATGACATATGGAATATTTTGAGAGTATAAATGTGCATACGGGATACAAGGGCATCAGAGGGATTTTGTTTTGAAATATGCACTTTTAATGTAGATTGATACCATAGAATAGAAATTGAAATTATATTACAGATTTCTGCTTTGAATAACTTTGTGAATTTTCCTTCTCTTCTGAAGATCTAAATCATATCTTCTCTTTCCTTATGTCAGTCTTCCCAAATGTATTGGTATTCTTTTCTGTGAGAGGTATTATTAATTCATCTATACAATAAGTATTCAAGGAAAATGTCACTGATTTATTCTTGTTAAGTTTAGGTTGCAAGTGTAAAAATCTATAAACAATCAAAATGATGGTAGGACAAAATGAAAAGGGATGTGCAGTTGCTGACTAATATTAATCTGACAAATTTTAAATAGTTTTCTACAAAGACACCCAAATCCTTCATAACAAAGTCTCATTTTTTTGTGTCATTGCATTGTCTGAGACTGTATATGTGTATATAATGTATATATCTTTATTCTATATATGTATATTTGCATTATATTTGTATATACATTTGTGTGTATATTCACATATATTTCATATCTATAGCATCAACTACTTCATAATAAAAGTGATATGTGTAACTTTCAAGTAAAATGGTTTAAAGAAGAAATTGTTTGCTTGCCACTTAATCTCTTTTTCCCTTCTTACAAAATGGAACATGGACTAGTATGTGTAATCCAACCTCAACCAATCCAGAGAAGAACACTGGAGGAGGAAATGGAAGAGAAACAAGATATCTATAGGGAAGGAGCTTCCCTGCTGGCCTGGAAATGCTCATCCCTGGATCGTTAGATAAGACAGAAATAAAATTCTATTTTGTTTGAGACTTTGAATTTTAGGGTTTTGTTGTTGTTGTTGTTACAGCTGCTTAAAATATACACCCAAAGTAATATATTTGCCATCTTGACTTTTTAATTTGTGCATCCTTCCCTTTTCATTCCTGTTCTCTTGAGGCCTTTTATATATATATATATATATATATATATATATATATATATATATATACCTCCCAACATAAATATTTTCAAAAAGCATGCAAAAAAGCAGTCCTAACTGGGAAAGAAACAACATAAGAGATAAATGTACAGGTCAGTTTTTACTGCTAACATGGACCATCTGAAAATCTTTGCAAAGACACTCACTTTTCTTTATTTTCAGATGCAAATTTGATAATATCTTCTTGGCCTTTGTTCATTTATTATTTTATTTTACATTAATTTGAGTAGGGGTCTTGCTCTGTCGCTCAGGCTGGAGTGCAGTGGCATAATCATGATCACTGCAGCCTCAAACTCCAAGGAAGCCTGGGACGACAGGTGCGCATCATTACACCCGCTCTTCCTGACCTTTGTTAATTACAGTGATGATCAAGATAACATAGTGGGAGAATTGGTGAACTGGGACTTAATTTAAGGGGAGATGGGAAAGGAACACAGTGCCATTTGAAAGTAGCTAGCTGTTCAGACAGGAAGGCTCCTTGGAGCAGATAGGCTTTGGTCTGAGATAAAACATTTGGGCAACCTTCTAGAATTAAGTCAATAATGCTTCCCTTTTTGTTTTGGGAGAAGAATGTAATTGGTAGTCTTTTGACTTGGGTAATGGACGTTACCACTCTGTCAGACTCCTTGGTAGGTTTAAAAAGTTGCTGAGAATAAGTTTGCAGATTGGCGTCGGAACCAAAAGAAGTAAGAGTATGAAAACACAGACCTTTTCACTTAAAGATCAAAATGATTAGAATGTCTCTAATGAGCCTAGATGGCCTGAGAAAGAAATCTCCACACATTTTCTGACCTCTTTCATCTTTATATCACATTTTTGTTTTTAATATATGATTGTTTTACTAATTTTTAAAAACTCATGTTGATTCATTTTGTTATTTTTCCTCTGCTCTATGGCATACTTTTCTTAGTGACAGCTCGACAGCTCTTCGACCATCATGTGTTTTTCTGTTTTTGCACCTCTTTTGTCTTTCAGTTGTTAACATATTTGGACTAAGATATTTACATATATCAATAAAATTAGAATTGAGAAGATCCTTTATTTAGCCAAATTTTCTCTGATCTTATCATGAACCTCAGCATCTGTAGATAGCAGTTTCTCAGTTAAAAAATTATGGTCTACAGAGCAGAGTCAACTGAGTGTCAGCAATTTAAACTGTATTCATCACAAAATACAAATTTGAAGAAAACTGCAAGCAATTTTATTAAAAAATGTAAAACAGCACAACATTGCAAAATATATTCTTCAGAAAATTGCCAGTGACACAGTGTTAGAAACAGGTACAGGCTAAGAAAATGATTAAGAATGTGTATGTGAACCAAAAATAATTATCCCATTTATTTTTTAAGGTACGAATAATTCATATAAAGACATTTTTTATTTTGCTTTAATAACAAATGTTAGTTCTATATTTCGGCAAGAATATTTTTATATTTTCAGCAATGAATAAAGTTCATTGAACAGCCAATGAGATAATGATATTAAATTGTAAGTCCAATATACATATTTCAAAGAAATTATATGATTTTTACTACTTTTCCTGCTCCATTTCATCCTCAAAAATATCCTTTTTGGGATTTTTATATGGTCACACTACCTAGAAATTATGCATATGAGAGTATTAAACCCAATGAAACACTTGAATCTAGGTAATGACGGTGGGGGTGCTGGTTTCAGGCAGACTGTAAGAGTGATTTGAGAACCCCTCTTGAGCCCCTTGCCCTAGTATCTTGAGTATGCTATACCTGTTTGGGTGCAAATTAAAAGAACTCTGTCAGTGAAAAGGTGTCATACTGAGAGGCCAGGGTTCCTGTGGCAAGGAGCAGACATAGGTGAATATAATCCTAGGAATAAAGAGACTACATTTCTTTCTCTACCCACCATGTCCCACGTGATGCACTAAGAAGCTGTCCCCAGACTGGCAGTGGTACCTCATGTCTCTGTCATAGTAGCAGTCGCCTGTCTTCATGGGCTGAATTCTTTCTCAGGATGTTCTTTGGTTCTTCATGTAGAGAATGCTGCCGGGACTGACCCATGTCTTTTCTGAATCACCTCTGACATATGACCAGGTTAGGCCATAGATAGACTTTATCTTCAAATAGAGGCTCTTCCCCCACCATGTATGCAAATAAAGTGGTGATTAATAACTAAGGTAAAATACTTTACATAGATCTTAAATATTTATCCAAAAATCTTGGAAAACAAGACTCCTAATACTATACTGCCTTTTAGAAAATTATATTCCACATATTTCACAAAGTAAAACATGACTGCCATGGCAGTATAGTCATCAGTTCATTTCTGAGATCTAGAAGTTTTATGTGCCTAAAATTTCACAAATCATTTGAAAGATTGTTCAATTTCTCTAGAAAAGCCGGTATGGCTCAATGAACAGGGCCTTCTTCCTAAGCTGTGCATCTGGGTAGGATGCTGGCACATGTTCACCTGCAGGATGTCCTGGTTCACAAAAGCTTTTTTTACTTCCTGCTCTCATTTGATAGGAAGCAGTGAGATGGGGAAGCTTTTCATATGAACATAGAAGCAAGAAGATGTGATCTTATCATTTGATTATGTATTATAAGGACACTTAAAAGAATAGAATGGTGAGAAAAAAGCTTTCTCCTCTTTAATAAGAGGATCTCAAACAGGCATCTTCCTCATTTTTTAGGTATATTGAAAGACTCTCAAATGGTATAACATAATAATCCTCAAAAATCTAGTTTTCATCATTTTTTCTACTAGTAATTTGTACATTTCTCTTATTTACATCCCCTTTGAAATTAATTAGCCTATCCTACTTACATGTCTACTTCTTCAGAGTTAACTCATTTATAAAAACAGATGTTTCCCTGAGGAATATGCTTTCATGCTTGCTTTATGCAGCTCTGGTAAGCCCTGTTCCAACTAACTATCTGACATTTCACTCTTCTTAATAGAGAAGTTATGATGGAAGAATATTCACAGCCACAGTTCAAGCAATTAAGGGAATATTGATTTCCATATGGAATCAATGAAAAGCTGGATGTCTGAGCAAGTTAGAGATGACTTAACTTTGGGCCTTTCTATCTTCATTTCCTTATTTATCTTTAAACAAGAAAGAGAACTGTATTGCATTAGCTTGTAAGGGCTGTGATAACAAAATACCACAGACTGTGTGGCTTAAGTGACAGAAATATATAGTCTCACAGTTTGGGATGCTAGAAGCCTGAGATCAAGGTGTTGGCCGAGTTGATTTTCTAAGGCCTCTCTCCTTGGCTTGCAGATGGCCATTTTCTCCCTGTATCTTCACACAGTCTTTCCTCTCTAGGTGTCATCTGTGTCTAATCTCCTCTTATTATAAGGATACTAGTCAAATCAGATTTGGGCCCATCCTAATGGCTTCATTTTAAGTTAATTATTTCTTTAAAGGTGCTATGTCCAAATAGTCACATTCTCAGAGAGTAGGAATTAGAAGTTCACACATGAATTTTGGGAGGGACAAGATTCAGCCCATAACAGAAATCATGGTTATAACTTTTATTTTTCAATAACAGTACTTTGAAAAATGACATTGTGTCTGTTTCTTCCATTTTAAAAGGAATACAACATGTTTAAGACCACAGAACATCTGCATAGGTAAGTATAAATCTTGTTGGCATTTTAATTTTCTCACTGGAAACCTTGTTTTCATGTGCAAGTGCTGAAGGTTCTGGAATATTTTTTCATTATTGCTCTCGTTATGAAAGCAGCTGTTCAATGAACACAGCATATTTTGTTACCTCATCAAGAAGCAGAGGAAGATTATGTTGTGATCAAGTTTTGTATAGCTATAGTCAAAGCTTTTCTGATTGTTTGAGCCTGGTGGTTGATTTAATAGGTATACTCCAGGGCAGTTACTCATCCCTGATATATGTCCAACCCAAAACTCCAAGTTATTTATGTAAACGATGCTTCATATGCCTTCCATGCAGATAAATCCCAGTTGACAGAACTGTTTAAGAGATGAATGTGCTCCCAACTGGGATTACGGTCACAGTATTTATCTATATCAACTTTCATGTTACTTCACTGGCAAATTGGGAGCTTTGGAGGATAAGAGGATAACATATGATCGGGAGAATCTATTTTCTGCTCTGAAGGTAGTATCTCAACATTTCAGTACACTGTGCATCGAGGAAGACATCAGAAAACAAACAAACAAAACAGTCTTGAGAACAGATGATTTGTCTTTGAAAAATAAAAACATCTCTAAATCATGGGGAAAATCTAAAACCAGAGCCATTCAGATATACTCAGAAGTTGGAAAATGTTCTTATGTGTAACAAGTTCTGCATTTTTAGCTTTGGCTGAGGATTTTTTTTTATATGGTAGAATATGAGCCTTATATGTTCTTTACATACACATGATTATTAGAAGATCAAAAAGCTACATATGATTTCTGGTTTAAAAATTATGGAGTAGGAACTATGATCTTTCCTCTTCTTTTATAATAAATCACCCAAAAGCTAAAAAATAATGAGACGAAGGTAAAACAAATGGTAGAGACACATAAAACCTGACAGAGCTGGGAGACACATAAAACCTCAAAACAATAACCACAATCTAAGAAGGGAGTATATTGCTTGTTTCCTATGGCAAATTCAACTAAAATATCCTTTGATAAGAACAATTTTGCACAAACAATTTAATTTTATTTATATTGTAAGAGACTAGAACAATCCAGAAAGAAAATTCTATTTTCTTAATATATTTCTAAAACATTCAACAGCATTTTACTTCTTTGACCATGTAAAGGACATATGGATCCTATATTGAAAATGTATGGACCAAGTTTCCATATATCCAAATAAATTTCCACTATGTTCTAGCTTTATAACTTTGCCCCTATGTAATTCCATGGATATGAAATTATATATGGGAAACACCAAGATAATTATTTTATGAAGGGAAACTAGTGCTCTCTCATGCTCTATATCCTTTATAAAAATTAAAAGAAGAAGAAGGGGAAAAAAATCCTCATTAATGTATGCTGGCAAAACAATGGCAGTCATTTTCCTGGCTGAAAACTAAATTATTGTGCATTGTAGTGTGCATGTCTATGATAAGTAGATTACTATAGATCATTCCGAGAGGAGGTAGAAGGAAGATTGCACTAACATTAGCTTCTCTGGTATTTGCAGGCTGTAAATTTCGTTGAATGATGGATGCAAAGATGGAAGACAGATGGATAGAGGAAAAGACAGAATCAGATACTGGATGAGTTAGTACTGCTGCCTGTGCTTCAGAGCTGTCTTATTACCACAAGGCCGGCAAGCATCAATGTCCCCACATCCCCCTCTGCCTCCCCCTGAAATGTACCGATTTATATGAAAATTAAGATTACAAATTAAAGCCTGGCTATCCTGGAGTTTTCCAGTTCATCAGCCATCCAATAAAAATGATGTCAAGCCTGTATGCATAATTCCCGGAAGATTACTTTCGTCCTTACAGCTAAGCCCTGTCCCTGATATGAAAGATCTCTATCCACTTTTATTGAAATAAAGAACTAACATCATAATCCCAATATTGAGGTATAATCTTCATTATCTCCTGACCCTCTTGAGGTTCCCCCAATCTATATTACTTCAGATTTGGTTTATGTGTAATCCTTATGTATTTACTTTTATTGAGATAGGATTAAAAACTAAAAAAAAAGCTTCAAAAAATCCTTATGATCTCATGATTGAGTTTCATTTCACCAACAATCAACTAATGTGTTAGACTGAGTTTTTTTTTAAGTGCTTCTTATAGTTATATAGTCCAAGCTTGAAAAGGCATTAATTGGTCCCATGTGTTTCCTGTTTCATTACATGAATTATTTCCAATTCAACTTGGTTTGTGAAATAATGGCATCATCTTCTTTTCCTATTAGAAAAGGTGTGGGAGGGGGATGTATGAAAAGATAAGCATACACATAAAATAATCCAAAGTAACTTAAATCTCTTTTCTTAGGAAGTTTTGATTCATACCTATAGTTAATTACTGGTAAACCACAATCTACCAACCTTTTCTTTCCCCCAGAGCCTTAATAGCCTCTGGCTATGCCTCGGGCTGTTAACTACCAAACTAGTCATTAATGCTGGTCAAGATGATTTCTTGGAGATTATTGCTCATTTATTTTTTTAACAGACAAAACAGAATTTGCTTTGCACATGGACTAAAATAATACTTCAGCCATTTTTTTCCTTTCAAAAACATAAACACTGATGAAAATCACATTGTACTGTGGTATTTTCAAAGCATTTCATATGTTATTTTAGCTGTATTTTCCAACTGAAAACTGGATTTGCAATGCTCAGGATTTCCCTGGTAATCATCATGTTTGCTTATTGTTTGCTATTATATTTGGTAAAACACATCTTGATTAAGAGATTTGATGTGTTCTCTATTTACCTGTGCCTCTTATTTTTACCTTTTGTCCAAGGATATGTTAGGAAGATATTTGTTTTTTTAGAATTGAAAACAGGGTATGGAAATAGAAATACTTCACTATTGGCATAAAACAGCACTGGAGTGTTTTCTTCTTAACGTAGTATTTATTGTTTGAAAAGAATTCTTATTCTATTGGTGTTTTTTTTTTTTCTTTTTTTTTTTTTTTTTTTGAGATGGAGTCTCGCTCTGTCGCCCAGGCTGGAATGCAGTGGCACAATCTCGGCTCACTGCAACCTCCATCTCCCGGGTTCACGCCATTCTTCTGCCTCAGCCCCTCCAGTAGCTGGGACTACAGGCGCCCGCCACCACGCCCGGCTAATCTTTTGTATTTTTAGTAAAGACGAGGTTTCACCGTGTTAGCCAGGGTGGTCTTGATCTCCTGACCTCGTGATCCGCCCACCTCAGCCTCCCAAAGTGCTGGGATTACAGGCGTGAGCCACCGCACCCTGCCTATTCTATCGTTATTGATATAAAATGGGATTCATTATAATTTTTATTGGCTCAATTATTCCTCATCTGTGAACCACTCATTTTCATTCATTCGTGCTTTTACTTGAGCACCTGCTATTGCCTGGGCACATTCAGAGACAAATTAGAGAATGGAGAAAAAACTGGAAAGACAAAAACAATCTATGATCACTCAGTCATCTTTCTGCCAAAAAATAATATTCAAACATAAAAACACGTATTGGAATGATTAGGCTTATTAAAATGTTTACTCAACAACTAAAAAGGAAGTGGATGAAACAATATTTTGGTACCCTTAATATTTTCTGGTTATCAGTTTATTTCTGTGAATTTCCTTATTTTACTCTCGCAACAACTCTACAGTTCCTTAAAGCAACCTTATACTTACACCTATTTTGTGGATGTGGAAATTAAGACTTTAGAATTGCTGAAGATATAGAAGAAACAAGAAGGTACTGGAAGAAAAATGCAGAAAAGAAAGCTTCAGGGGTTCAAATACAACAATGCTCGTTTACTTAGCACCTTAATTCCCGCACTTGCTTATAGACAGAAAATGCCTCCTTCCTTTCTTTTGAAAGCTGTGGCTCAAGATGGCAGGACACCCCACAGAGTCCCAGTTTAGATCTTGAAACAGGTAGAGTAAGAATGGTTTTGGTTAGGTAGGTTTAACCTACCAACTGGAGGTTTATTTGAATTACATCTAAATATTATTTATAGGAGCAAGTCTGCCAGTTATTAATAATTTATGAAAGTTGCTTATTACCAGCTATAATGTAGGTTTTATTGACCGATAGATTTAACTATGGGAAGAAGTAGCAGAAAGAGAAAAGGAAGTGAAAAGGTGATATGGGAGTGTGGCTTATTTTGAAAGAATTCTAGTTTTGGCCAGGGTGTATAATGTAAGCTAGAAAATAATAATACTGAGCACCAGGGATGAGTGAAGAATTCATTTATGTCTTTGGCTTAGTCCAGCGCTATTTGACTTAAGACAGTGTGTATGGTGTCCTGGAAAGGTTTATAATTTATAAAGCTTTGAATTCTCAGGGATAAGCCATGAATTACAGGGTGATTTCAAAAGCTTTACATTCTAAGATAAGCCACTATTATGCTTTTTCCTCATTAAAGACAGGAGCTTCTGTTTTTTAGCAAAACTGACCCAAATGTCTTTTAATAAGAATTGTACTGGCATGCAAAAATTTAAACTATAAATACAGTCTGTTTTCATTATTCAGGGTACCCAATTATTATAACAACTACTTTACATTATGAAAATAAAATTCAAGTCAGTAATAAAAAATACTTTTTTTCTTGAACAAACAGAGGATCCAATACAACTGTCATAAAGTCTTTTTTTCACCTTGCCTTTATAAAAATAGCATCTTTGACTTTCTAACAGCTGACAATTTTCTCTTTCATACATTGTCACTCCTAAACCAGCTTTCTAACTCTGAATTCAGATTTCTATCATCTGCTGACAAATGACAATTTCAGGTTATTTCATGGCGCTCCTATTAGCCTGCCAAGGATTTAGTTTTGATAGGGTTGCTATCTTTATAAAGCAAGGTATATGCAATTACATATTTCAACATTTCCAAAGCAGGTACCTTAGGGTATAACTCTAGGTATAATCTAGAGTGAATGAGTTTAACCTCTGTGATACTACTACCTATTAACTCAATGCAGTTGAGGCAATGATGCTAATTAGACACACAAAAGCTGTGACGTTTCAGCTTAAATACCTACTGGATACAAGCTTAATCTACCCCATCCCCAACAATTATAAAGAAGATAATAAAATTAAAGAACATGTATTAAATGTTGAAAAATATATATTAGATTATTGCCTTTCAAGGGCTACACAGACATGAGTAATTTTTAAGGAACTCAAATTCTGCATTCTCAAGTTCCATATGTATGCCTTTCTAAAATGATCTGCCTAAGAGCAGTTCTATGGGGCTGCCTCTTTCTCACCTTTCTTTCACATTAATCTATCTGCCACTTTACAAAAGAGATGTACCTCTCACCCACTGGGAATCTTACTAAGCGACACTGTCCCAGGATGCAAAAACGTCTTGATTGCCAAAGGAGCAATTAGAAATATTTGTTTATTAAAGACCTCCTTATACAAGAGAGTACGTGATTTTTCAAAATTCTTTATAACATTTATTATTTAACAAACAGTCAAACTTTTAATTTGTGTACCAGCTTTCAGGAATAAAAGCCAGACTTAACACTCTCGTTAGAGTTCTGGTAATGAAAAACCAACCAGATGCTTGCCCTAATGTACTATCATGGTTTACTAATGTTTTATTTATTTATTTAAGAGTTGGGGATCTTGGCCGGGCGCAGTGGCTCATGCCTGTAATCCCAGCACTTTGGGAGGCCAAAGCGGGTAGATCACCTGAGGTTAGGAACTTGAGACCAGCCTGGCCAACATGGTGAAACCCCATCTCTACTAAAAATACAAAAATTAGCCAGGCGTCGTGGCACATACCTGTAGTCTCAGCTACTCGGGAGGCTGAGGCAGGAGAATTACCTGGGAGGTGGAGGTTGCAGTGAGCTGAGATTGTGCCACTGGACTCCAGCCCGGGTGTGACAGAGAGAGACTCCATCTCAAAAAAAAAAAAAAAAAAAAAAAAAAGAGTTGGGGTCTTGCTTAGGCTGCCCAGGCTGATCTCGAACTCCTGGCCTCAAGAGATCTTCCCACATCAGCCTCCTGATTAGCTGGGATTACAGGTATGAGGCACCACGCCCAGCCAGTTTACTGAAGTTTTCGAATATGTAAAAATTTTGGTCACTGTGTGTATGTGTGTTTGTGTGAATTCCTTTATTCAAAACCATGTAAATAGGAGATTAAGTACAGTTCGCTTTACCTGAAAAATATATTACATATGAATGCTTAGGTCATAGAGAGTAAAAGGTAACTTTTATTGAGTCTTTTCTTTTCAAATGAATGTATAGAAAGTTGGCTTGCTATATTTACAGGAATTCACCTTCTCCATATTTTATCCCTTAAAATGTCCACATACATGCATATATTTGTCATTGCTGACATAGTTATTGTTTGATAATACATTCTCTGAAACACTGGTTCTTTTCTGGACCATTAAAGAGGAAACAAAAAAAAAATGATCACTGTTACTCTACACCAGTTTAAATTGAGGGGTAAAAATGTCTAAAAGTAAAAATGTTTACAGTAACATTTTTTACAAATTACAATGCAGGTTTTTTTTTACACTAACTCATTACACAATAACCCTGAAAGCACAAAAGTTATTTTTATCTCTATTCTGTAAATGAGAAAACTGATGTGCTAGAGGATATCCACGTGGTCATAAGCCAAACTAGGACTAAAATTTAAGCTGTTGGACTCCGCACTCTGTGTCTTCTCACTCTATTGAACCACCTCTTGTGAAAATTGCTCAACTTGCTAAGGACTGTGTTCTCTAGGTAAGCGCCTGTGAAATGCAGTTGAGGTGATGACACCATTCCAAAGGTGTGAAATCTATCTTAATTTTGGTTAGGAAAGCAATATATGTATGATTTAAAATGAAAAGAGTTTTTTTCCCCAGAACTTCACAAAACGTAATTCCCACGCCCTAATAAGGAAACATGGTGTTTAAATAACCCTTCAAGTGCACCTCAAGGAAATGATCTGTGTCTTACTGGATTTCAAAGACGCATTCATGTCTAGGGAAAAGTATTAATATAAAAAAGGACCTTGATAAGTCACTTAGTCTGTTTCACTGGATTTTGGCTGGGTACTGTGTTCTTAAAAGTTCTAACTCAAGATGCCCAGATGGTGATGGGATATGAGGAGCTAATGACATGGATGGAAGGACGTGGTTCCAGACATGCTAGGTGTCTGGTTCCTAACAAGACACTGCAGAATTTGAGATTTTTGCTCTGGAAACAAATTGGGACAAATTTCATGGTGTGATTTGTGAATGTTCTCATCCTTCAGGCTTGTGCTGTATACTGCCATTGCCAAGTTGTAGCTATTGTTTGCTTGAAAAGAAAGGATGAGGAAGAAAGTAATGACCAAAAAAGCCCTAAAAAATAACATACATGATCTCACATTTATGTAAAACACATATGGAAGAATGTGTGTCGAATGTTCACACGTACTTTTAAAATATTTTTAATTTACAAATTATTTTTAGAACAGTTTTTACAGAAAGTTGAGCAGAGTTCCCATATACCATCTCACCCTTTCCCATATGTTTTATAATAAACAAAATTTTGTTATATCTCCTCTGAATTATTTGCTTCTTTTGATGAATTAATTTGTCTGGAGAGTATTAACATGGAAAAAAGCTCCCTTCATATTATCTTTATGAAGAATTCAACGCCTTGTACTGATCAGTGATTTTCAGATGACAGTGTGCAAAACAATCACCTGGAGGGTTGTTAAAAATACGGGACTGATTTTTTAAGTCTGAGCCAGAGACAAAGAAACTGCATTTTTAACATAGCACCCAGGTGATTCCGATGCACTAAGCATATGAACTATACTTTGAGAAACAATAGGCTAGAAATTCTTATCCCCGGATGGAAAATCTCTATTAGACCACCTGAACCCATACATAGGTCTGCTGCTCCTTAAAATTAAAAAAAAAAAAAAAAAAAAAAAGACTCAGTAGTCTTTTTCAAATCCTGTCAAATGTTGTCAGCATGGAAAACAATTTCAGTGTCTGAGCTAATTCATCAACCAATGAACACGATAAATTGAGTGAGAATTAGAAGTGAAACTTTTAAAAACCTCATACACCATTCACTTGCCTAGAAGCCAATGAGGCAAAATTGTTATATCAAAGCATCCTAATAGATATAATATTATCAATACATTTTATACTATATACACTTTTTTGTTGTACACGTTTTTAACAAACTCTATTTTTATTGAAATTATTAGGCCATCAAGACATAAACTCAAACAGGATTTATGTAAATGTATATTTAAGAAGGGGAATCTGAATTATTTAGGGTCTAATCTATTATTAAATGACCTAATGGATAGTCACAGGTGTTTTGGACCCCAGTCCAAGGGTTGGAGATGAGCTTTAAGACCCTTACTAGTCAAAGTGTGGTTCCGGGACCAGCAACATGAGCAATGTAGGAACTAGTTAGAAATGCAGATACTCAGGCCCCACCAGACATACTGAAAAAAAAAAAATCTGCATTTTTTAACATAATAACCAAATGACTTAGCTGCACATAAAAAATAAAGAAAACTTTCTTTCCAGTGTTTCAGTCCTGATCCTTTCTAAATTTTCCTGGCTGTGGACTAATTCCCAGTACTATTCCCCATTTCTCCCATATATCCACACCCCATTATTTTTATTTCAGATGGTCATCTCTCGCTTCTTGCTCTTATCTCCAAAGGGAAAACCACACAGACTCTAACTAGGAACTCACAGGCTTCATTCACAAGTTTTCCTCTTTTAACCAAAGAAAACGTAGTGAGCTGATCAATATCTTTAAATAATCTGCTAGCAGACCTGAGCACATCCAGTTTATTTAAAGCTGCAAGTGAATAAAATATAGCTAGTATAAGGGTATTCACACCATTAACTGTCCTCCCTCCTTGCTTCAAAGCCTTGCTTTGCTCTCTCTAGGACTGTGCCTCAGTAAAAAGTCCCTTCAGAATTAAAAAAAAAAAAATCACTTTTCCTGTGTAAAAAGAACAATGCTATTACAAAAAAAATGGTGCCACAGACTCTCACAATTTGTGTTTCAAAAAGCCACTGCTGCTGCTAAATCACCGCTACTGTCCTGGAACCATTATGAACATGCTAATCTATGCCCAAAGCAATATTAGTATTATTGTTTATTTTATTTTCATTATAGCCCAAACCAGATAGGCTGCTATAATTCTGCTTTCTCCTGGTACGAGACTGGGAAAGAAGATATAATGATAACAAAGAAATGCCAATTGTTTTAGTAAATAACACTGCAGAAGTCATATATCATTTCCCATTTTCCAATTGCTCCAACTCCTATCAAGTTACTAGAGACAGCAAGTCAATGTGCCTGGTGCTGGAAAAAAATCATTCAGGTAAGCTGAGGCTACTCCTTCTGTTTCTCCATCTGCTAAGCTGTTAACACAAAGACATATTGACAAAAGCTCAAGGAAAACATGGAATACTTCATCAGTAAGATTATGCTGCCCTAGAGACAGATGTTAGAAAGCTGTAATATTTAAAAATAAAGAGATAAACACATGGTTGAGAGGAAAGAATAAAATAATTTAGCGTTGAGATAGAATATTAAAAAGAAAAAAGGAAAAGATGGAAAGATAGATTTTATCATACTGTATTGGCACAAGAAATGGCAAATCCTTTCATGTAGGGAAAAACTTTTATATCTGCCTCAGGCAATCATTTACCATTAGGCAGACATTCTTAGAGTGCACTAGGGTAGATCTGTAAGAACTGCTTAGCAGGGCTAATTACGATTACACAGAAAAGACTTACCTCTTGTCACCAGATAAAGTCCAGGCTTTGACTTAAATCCATACACACCAGTTTTCATAAAAGTTTAAACATGAAAAATGTTATATACTTTGGTAATTCACATTCAGTGAACATAAAAACAACATTAAGTAATGATAACTCTGGATTTATCTGGTAACTTTTACTGCAGAGGTCAAGGTACTTTGTCTTCACTTATTTTTACTAGAGAAAAATAATAAAAATAGATTATAATTGTAGGTTATATAAATATTTACAATTGACATACAGTAGCCATGTATTAAGCAAACACATTTTTAAACAGCAGATTCTCCATTTTTGCTAAAATTTTAACACATTTATAAATAAAATGCAAAGAGTAGGAACAGAAAAGTAGAAGGAACTTTGGCTTTGAATTCAAACAGAATTGGGTTCAGATCCAGGATATTTAATTCACTTCTCTGAGCTTCAGTTTCCTCATCTGTAAAACAGGGATAATACTACCTACTTTACAGGGTTGCTGAGAGGGTTAAATATGTAACTAATGAAGGCTCCAGCATTGTGTGTGAACACTGCAGGTACTCAATAAATGCCAAGTGACATAATCACAAAAAAACTAACACAAACAAGCACATTAGAGATTCCAATTTAATTACCGTTTGTCCTTTTCTTAAAATCTCCAAGTTCTGATTGTACAGTAGAAGCTCCTAACTTAACACCTTTTCCCACTGGGAAGGTGATGCCCTCCTCCTCAAAAAAAAGGGAGGGGGGAATAGTATAAAGGAGGAGTTACCAGAGAAAGGAAAAGGAAACTGAATACTTCTTCCAGGAAAGAGGAGGAAGAGGGCATGAGGTCTGACTTCATGGTCCTGACTACTTCACCTCCTCAAGGATGAAAACTCAGGTAAATAATGGTTAAAAAACAAAAACAAAAACTGAAAGCTGGAAATCTTCAAGAGTTTGCCCTGCTTCCTGTTCATCATTCTAAAAGGAGAAAAACTTGCAGGATAACCACACCCAACAGAGGACTACTACAAACAGAATAAAATGGCAGCGTAGTGTGAGTAGGCCAAGAAAGGTTCTGTAATGGCAGGTCTCAAAGTTCCTTGGCTGTTGTGCAGTGGCTCTTGTGTCCAGGTATTCCTTCATGATCCCAGCAGGATATGTGAAAGGTGGTTGTTTATAGAGTTAAGAGTGAGAAGCCATTCTGGTCACTGTGAGATGATCCCCACAGCAGATGCTGCAGAGCAGACAGACTAAGCCAGGGTTCACAGAGTAGATGTGGTTGAGACATGAGGACCTGAAATGCTGTTGAAAAATGAGAAGAAAACAAATGAGAAAGGGAGAGCTATAAGCTCTGACAGCTCTGAAAGAATACTGGTTTAGTTAATGATAGACTGGAACAGCAGATAAAGAAACCCAGTAACTAGTTTGGACTAGATATATCTCCATGGCAGTCAGTGAGAATTCAGATGACTGCACAAAGACCACACACAGATCTGGGGCTCTCTCCCCTCCCTGCCATAAGAACACATGAACCTTTCCTGACATCTAAAGGACATTTCTGCCAGGAGAAAGGGACAGGAAGAACACCAAAAAACTGGGATTTACCCCCAAAGAACCTATTTTAAAACTAAAGAAACTGAGATCATTTTGCTTGTCATCTTTAAATTCTATCTCATCCTACTCCACTCAAAAGAAAATTTATTCCAATTCTAAAGAAATGAAAGGCCTTTTTAGCTCTTGATAAGTTAGATGCAATGTGTCCAACTCTATAAGTCATATTTTCTTTCTGAGGCCTGGACAGGAAACCAAAATAACCATAATGTTTCTTTATTCACAAATTAAAGTGCCCTAATTACATCAGGTAAGAGGAAGTAGGTAATTATATCAGGTAAGAGGAATCATACATACATTATTTTTCTCTCCTTTAAAAAAATTTATTATATGGGTAATTTGAGAGGTCCATTCATTCATTCATTCAATAAATATTTACTCAGTACCTTTTCATCTATCATATGCACACAGAAGTAAATAAGATTGAGGCTGACTATTATGCACAGAGCAGTTAAAAAGCATTTTTGTACAAAATCATTGTTATAGAAAATTCTGTTGCCAGAATAACAAGTGAAGCCAGTTGTAAGAGGTAATACTATGTAAAATCTTATTTTTTAAAGTATATTTGCTATAACAAAAGAGACACAAGATATGGAGGAACAGGTCAGAAAGACTATCATCATTGCCTTTTTCATTTTTGCATGAACAGGCATGCAAAAGAAGTTATATAGCTGTTTTAGTTATCTCAGTAAATACTGCTTGAAAATTTTAAGAAATTAAACTGAAAAAGTCAAATAACACTGTAATAAAGGCTATAGGATAGTTTGTTGTTTAAGAGTATAGGTATTTTTCATAAAGATTCCCTTTAAAATGTTAGTATTATAGTCCTTTTTTTGAGACAGGGTCTTGCTCTGTCACCCAGACTGGAGCACAGTGGTACAATCATGGCTCACAAGAGCCTCAAACTCCTGGGCACAAGTGATCCTCCAGCCTCAGCCTCCTGAGTAGCTAGGACTACAAGCACGCACCAGTATACACCACCACGCTGGCTAATGTTTTTTAGTTTTTGTAGAGACTAGGTCTTGCTATGTTTTCAAGGCTGGTCTTGAACTCCTGGCCTCATGCAAAGCTCCCGCCTTGGCCTCCTAAAGTGCTGGGATTACAGGCATGAGCCGCTGTGCCCACCCCAAGCCCTTAATGTCTTGCTTATTAAGTTCAAAGTTTTACATTATCAGGTTTTCTTAAAGGTGGGCTATGGAAGCCTGACAAATACATGCTATTTGTCGATATGGTGTTATAAACATGAAACAGAATACTATGGCTTTACTTTAAAAAAAAATCCTATAATTTTCCAAAGATATTTATCTATAGAAATGGCATTGTAGAATATTTTCAGAAAGGCTTTTATGGTGGCTCTTTGAATCATTGCCCATTCAAAGAATTTTAAATATTCTATCTAACCTCCTGTACCATAAAGCCCATTGGATTTCATATACTAGAGCATAGAGTACAAAATTTAGGAAAAACCTCTGCTTTTATCAGTTACTTCTGACAAAGTTGGTATTTCAGTCATCCTACATGTACATCATACACTGATTGAAAGGTGACATTGTTAGAGATTATAAATAATTCAACAAATGGCATCTATCTGATTAGTATTTCAAAACAATATTTTATCTCTTCCCAACCCCCTCTTTATCTTCATAGAGTGCAGTTGCATTTGAAATCTATGGTTTCTGGCATATCTGGGGTAAGGTTATACTACGAATTTACCAGACCTGTCAGTCTGTAGGTTTCTTCCATATTTCATTATATCATTCCAGTTATAATTAGTTGTCTGGTAAAATTAAGAACAGTCTATTTCAGTGACTGCTCATGTGAACATTTAACAACTTTTTGTTAGAATGACAGTTTAGCGACACAAAGAATAAACCAGAAAGGGAGAGTCACTGAAGTAACCTTACTTAACTCAATGTTGCCAGCTCAATTGAAAACACTAAGATTTTGCATTTTTTTCATTTTTGTTATTAATAATCAAGCACATATTTCTTGTCAAGAGATAAGCAGCAGTTTGATGACATTCCTGCCTCAACCAGCATGTTTTGAACTGACCTGTCTTCATTGCTATGGCTCCCAAGAAACTCTGCCGTTGACAAGCGTTGATTCAGCTGAATGCTTTGACATTTAGCTTGTCAGTGAAAGCTATTTTAATCATTAAGATGCATTTCCCATCCAAGATTGCAAACTGTTGCTGCTCATACACAACATTCTATCATTTGATTACCGTGGAGAAGAAGAGAACCTGAAAAGTTACTCTTACTATCGATTATATTAAGAGCTAAAATTTATTGATTATTTTACTGTGTGTGAGGAGTTGTGCTTAGCAATTTACATAGATTGACTCATTTAATCTTCTCAATCATGGAGTCTGACCACCTGAGTTTGCATCCTTGTTTTCCACTATCTGTATAACATGCAGCCCTCCCTGTGACATGATTTCCTCAACCACAAAATGGAGTAATAGTACCTACCTCACAGGCTTATTATGAGGAATAAATGAAACACATCATTAACAGTGCTTAGAATTAATACCTGCAAAACAGTGCGTTTTCATAGTGTGAAGAGCAATTTTTATTACCATTTTTTAGATGAAATCAACCAGTTCTTCACCAACTGTCCTGCTCAGCATCACTTCTAACTCTGTCTCTGTTCCCAAATCCAAAAGTACAGATAGGGAAAATGAAAAATATTTTTTTTAGGACATTTTTTCTATAGGTATTTGAACTCCAGCTCCACAGGAGGGAGCACCACAATTGTAGAAGGATAGTACTTTTGCAGTATGAGCCTTTTAAATGTTTTTCCTGTTCTTTCTTTCTTCACTGTAGCCTTTCTCCATTCAGGGAGCTAGACCTATGTGCTGGTGAATCCCTATTAAATGGGATGCAAGTGAAGATTTAGACAGTTTTGGGGACTTCAGAGGAGAGGGGTCATTTGTCCCAGGTTTAATTAGTGGCATAATGGCAGCAAGATAACAGAATCCCATAGTTTTCCACGCCCAAGTTTGTGAAGCAGCAGAATAAATATATGTCAGGTGTTTATGTAGACAACCTCAGACAGCCTAACAGAGTTCCCTGGGCCATGCCATGGAGTGAGAGCAGCTGTATGATCCCATTGCTTCTAACTGGGCATGGAAGCAAAACTTCTCAAAGTCCAGAGCACCACTAGGATGTTTCCTATTGTGGCAGAAACTATGCTGTGTTGTTGCTGAACTCCTTCCTTTCTTTCCTGAGCACAAAGCTAAACTAAATATCATAGCCTCCCCTGCAGTTAGTTGGGTAAGACTTGACTTTTAAAACCTTTATTAACCACTATATACATTCTTTTCTCTCATCTGCTAGTTGAATGTATATGAACCAGTTGAAGGTCTTATGATCCTAGAAAATGACAAGAGTCATTGAATTAGGAGTTCTTAACCTGGGATCTATTTAATAAGATGTAGGAGAACCATGACCTTGGATTTGGAACAAAAACAATTCTGTATTTTCATCAACCTCTAACTGAAATCTGGCAATTCTTTAAATTATGAACATAGGAATCAATGCACAGTAGTATTAGCAATACTTGAGACTTTGTCACCAATAAAACTCATAGGTATTTTCATATCACATTATAGATACTTAAGGTATCTTAAATATCATTTATACTAAAATTTACTTTGAAATAATAGTAATTATTAGGCTATTCAATATGCTAACACAAAGCACATATATTACAACAAAAGTATTTTTAAAATAGTTTGATAACTATATCAATGAAATTGTTTTCCTTTGTAATCTGGTATAATTTTTACATCTTTTAAAAATTTTTCTGCTTCACCAGATTGCCAAAGGGAGCTACAGAAAATTAAGAATCCCTGTCTAAATGATCCCTGAATGATACCATGGAGTAGGGTCCATCTTTTCCCCTCTACTCCACATCACCACCACACTGATGACCCACATTGTACTATGATGTGAGAAATAAGATTTTATTGGGTTAAGTTACTGAGATTTGGAAGTTAATTTTTAGAGCAGTTAGCCTGTGCAGACTAATACTCATATACCCTTGCTACCAAAATGGTAAGAGACCTCCGGTTGGAAAAGACCCAGAAGTGAATCCTGAGGATCAAAGATTGGATGGGGCCATTGAATATGTCTCAGCAGATAACAACTCAGAAAGACGGTGAAGCTCAGTCTAGGAAACATTTCCTTCAACTTAGAAATAAAGTTCAATTACGGTATCATAAAGAAACAGTTCAATTATTCTTGAATTTGTATGCTGAAATTTATAACTGTGACACAACAATGAATTTTCTTATTTATTATTTCTCTCTTCTTTTACTACAGTGGCAGTTATTTTGTTTCTCATAGCAGATATTAAGTGCTTTTGAATTCATCAGTTTTATAGGTGTGTGTGTGTGTGTGTGTATATATATATATATGGTTTTAAAACAACCTCTGATTAGCTCTGTTCTCAGCTAGAGTTTAACAATGAAGAGAAGCAAATAACTACAAAGATGAGATCAATACTGTGTAAGTCCTTCTACGAAGGAATTTGAAAGTTGAAATTTTTTTTAAAAGGTTTGTGCATTCAAAGAGTCTTGAGAGAGCCCTCCAGGGTTTTCAAGACAGGTGTAAATTTGACAACGCTTTCTCAAGGCATCAAGTTTTAATTTCATCTTTGCTTTTAGACTGTTCTGCCGGCTTTATTTTTTAGAAAAAATGAATCAGTCACTGTGAAACTTTCAGGTTATTAAAAGTCAGATGCAAAATCTCCTCTGAGGACAGATTCTTTCTAACCACCAAAGACTTACTGTATCTAAATTTTTATAACATACTGAACTGTAACTGAATGAAAATAAAATGGGATTAGTGTGTTATAGCTTCGGTTTTGGCATTAAAATGCAAAAAAAAAGTCCATTTATTCTTAAATGCTATATAATATAAACATCAGTCTGTCTTGATCACTGCTGTATACTCAGCTCCAAGCCTAATGCCTGACAAATATTTTTATGAATGAGTAGACTAATCAAATAGCACTTACTGAAATTATATACAGAATACACTATTTATGACTAGACTTTGCCATGAGAAGTTGCTGCCTTTCATACATGTAAGGGTAAGGTGACTAGATTAAGATGTTAAAGCCTGTAAACTGCCAGTAGCTCACCGACCCTTGAAATTCCTAAGGCGATACAAAGTCCTTTGATGGAAGAAATACTGTGGTATATTATTACAATTAAGTTGTTTCTAACATACCAATCCTTTAAAACTTAGTTTCAGTGGTTTCTTAGTATTAGCATAAGTGTGTATTAAGAAGTACAAGAGCTGGGCGCGGTGGCTCACGCCTGTAATCGCAGCACTTTGGGGGGCTGAGGCAGGCAGATCACAAGGTCAGGAGTTCGAGACCAGCCTGGCCAATATGCTGAAACTCTGTCTCTACTAAAAATACAAAAATTAGGCCGGGCACGGTGGCTCATGCCTGTAACCCCAGCACTTTGGGAGGCCGAGGCGGACGCATCACGAGGTCAGGAGATCAAGACCATCCTGGCTAACACAGTGAAACCCCGTCTCTACTAAAAATACAAAAAAATTAGCCAGGCGTGGTGGCAGGCGCCTGTAGTCCCAGCTACTCGGGAGGCTGAGGCAGCGGAATGGCGTGAACCCGGGAGGCGGAGCTTGCAGTGAGCCAAGACAGTGCCACGGCACTCCAGCCTCGGCGACAGAGCTAGACTCCATCTCAAAAAAAGAAAAAAAGATACAAAAATACAAAAATTAGCCAGGCGAGGTGGCGGGCGCCTGTAGTCCCAGTTACTTGGGAGGCTGAGGCAGGAGAATAGCTTGAACCCAGGACGTGGAGGTTGCAGTGAGCCGAGATCGCGCCACTGCACTCCAGCCTGGGCGACAGAACGAGACTCTGTCTCAAAAAAAAAAAAAAAAAGTACAGTAATTGTTTTGGCTCTTTAACTTTTCATGCTAATTTTCACACATTCGAAAGAGTAAATGGCATAAGGAACCCCCTAAGTACCCATTTCCCAACCCAACAATTATCATTGCCATTCTTATTTCATTTTCCCTCTTTCAATCTTTTTCTTCTTTTTTTGCTGGATTATTTTAAAGGAAATCCTAGGCATCCTATTATTTCAGCTATAATTATTTCTGTATGTATCTTTAACAGATAAGGACTTTCTAAACATAATACAATACCATTTAGCTCCTCTAATAAAATTATTAGTAATTCCTTAATATAGTCCCCGTTCAAATTTTGCCTGATTATCTCAAAAATGTCTTATACATGGTTTGTTTGAATCAGTATCCAAACAATGTCCATAGCAGTTGAGTTTAATGTATCTGTAAAGTTTAACAGAAAATGCTTCATCTTTTTTTGTGTGTGTGCCATTTATTTGTTGAAGAAACCAGGTCATTTGTTTTGTAAAAACCTCTCATTCTGGATTTGGCTGTTTGCATCATGGTATAGTTTAACAAGTCCCTCTATTTTCTGTAAAATGGTAGTCAGATCTCATAATTTTCTTTTGGAAAGAATATTTCATAGGTAGTACTGTGCACTTCCTGTTGCATAAGGAGACACATATTTGTCTCCACGTTTAGTGAAGACTGACTACACTGACTTCAAGTGTTGTCAGTCTGATCCATCATTACAAAGTGCTCCAACTTTTACCTAATGCTATTAGCCATTGATGACTCTTGGCTGGGTCCATTATTTCATCAAGAGTTGGAAAATGATGATTTTATATTTCTATCATTATTACTAACTGGAATTCCATAAAGAAAAAAATGCCTTTCATCAACTACGTGGTTACCCTGAAATACAACTCATGCCCAAAAAGCAGGATAAATGCTTGTTTCTTCATTGAAATTAATCTACTTTCAGCATGAGCTGGTATCCTATTTAACTTCCAATAGCGTGTAATGAGTCTCCCTCAACTCACTCTAACTTCTCCCTAAGGTCACCAGGTGGTTTTTACCGTAAAATCTCGCAGGGCCAGAATGGGGTAAGACAGGATGGAATTGGGCAGGCCAAGGCAGGATGCAGGGATTTAGGAGAAGGGGGTACTGGGTCAGGGAAGACAGAATACCTTAAGCATGCTCTAGGAGGTGGAATCCGAGCTTTCTGAGCTGTCCTGGACGTTGGTGCTCTCCACAGACTCCTTAGGTTCTTTGCTGTCACTGCCACTTTCTTCGGTAGCCGGGTTCTTTTGCTGACAGGCCTCTTCAGAATCAGAAAGTGTGCTGCCCTGGGTCTCCTGGTTCTCCCTGGAGCCCAGGACCACATACCCGCCCTTCTTCAGGTCCATTTGTCGTCTCAGCTCATCTGCCATCTGCGAGAGATCCCGCTTCATAGCATAAGCATCTTCCCCATCTGCATAGTATTTAGGTTCCACCTCACTAATCTGAAAGTTGAGGGTGTTAGAATAAAGGTGCAAGGCTGGCCGGTTACTCTTCCTGACGTGCAGAGACACGTATTTGGCGTTAAAGTTCTCTATCATGGCCCTGGAGGCCTGGTCCATCAGCTTCTGGGCCAGGCCGAGGCGCCGGTGTGAACGCTTCACGGCCAGTGAGGTGATATGGCCATGCGGGACATCATCTGGTTCCTCCTCCATTTTGGCCAGAACATAGCCCACAATCTTCCCGTCCTCATCCTCAGCGATGTAAGAAAGCTGGGGCCAGGAAAGGCCATGATATAAATAGTATTTCATCTGGTAGTTCTCAGGAAGGCAAAGGAGGTTGCAGTGTTGCATATTCATCAGGTCGTCTGGCTGAGCGTTGCGGATGTTCATAATGGCAGAGGGTAGGGAACCGGTTGGACTGCAGTGAACCCAGAAGAGGCTGTCGCCGACCTTAAGGGGCACTGTTTGCCTCAGGAATCGAGTCCAGGGGGCTAACACCACCGGGCTGAATCGTGTGGAGGGCGGATGGCGGGAAGGCGGAAGGAGCAGGAGATGGAAAAGATGGTGCCAAACTGCGGCTTTCAGAAGTGCGTCACTGATCCCAGCCAATGAGGTTTCGCTTCATTGTGCGTGTGCGTGCGCAGGGGTTAGGGGGTGGGGAGAGAGGAGTTCATTGTGGTCGCCTTTGTTTTAAATAACGCGATCCATTGCAATTATTATTTTTGTTTCAGTTTTAACTTTTTGATTTGGGTACATCTGAATAAATTTTCACAAACTGGAGAAACCCATATAACAGGAACTTAGAGAAAATAAAGAACATTGTATCCCAGAACCCCCCCTCCTGTCCCCTTCCAGTACCTGCTTCCAACATCCCAAGAATAACGATTACCTAGACTTCCGACAGACTTTATATAAATGGAATCATAGTGCATGCATTATTTTTGTGTCAGGTTTTTTCAGTCACTCTTTGTAAGTTTCAGCCACCTCGTGTATAGCTGAGGGTTCTTTATATTCTTCCTTGTTTGATATTCTATTGCCTAAATATGTCACAATTTTTTTTATCAATTCTACTGTTACTGGCCATTTTGTCATTTTCAGTTTGGGAATAGTACCCCTAGGGTAGCTGAACATTCTAGACTTGTCTTTAGTTGGAACAAATGCATATTTATCTAGGATTAGAATTATTGGGTCATTGAATATAATGATGTTCAACTTTTATAAATACTGCCACTTTTTCAGAGTGGTTGCTCCACCTTCTCAACAGCATTTGCTATTTCCCCATTGTTTTTATTTTAGCCATTCTTTTGTAGGGGTAGAAGTATTACACTGTGGTTGTATTTGCATTGCACTGATGAGTAGTAAAGTTGAGCACTTTATATGCTTATTAGCCATACTGTGTTCTCTTTTGTAAATGGCTGCTCAGATTTTTTTGCTCATTTTTCTACTTGTGTGTCTTTTTCACATTAATTTTTGAGTTTTATCAAAAATATATTCTGGGTATAAGTCCTTTGTCAGATATATTTGTAATGAATATCATTCTTGTCTATTGATTGATATTTCCCTTTCTTAATGGTGATTTTTGACACCAAGCATGAATTTTAATATAGTTCAATTTTTCCAGTTTTAAAATTTGGTGGTTAATGCTTTTTGTGTTCTGTTTAATAAATCGTTGCATACTCCATGGTGACTGAAGGCATTCTTTTATATTTTCTTCTAAGATTGTTAGTTTTACATTTTATATTTAGATCTGCAATTGACTGAAATTTAGTTTTGTGTATGCTGTAAGGTATCAGTGGACCCAATATTCTTTTCCTGTGTGGATGTACAATTCATATAGCACCATTTACACCATTTTGTGAAAAAAGATTATTATCCTTTCTTCATATTACTGCATTGTTACCTTTGTCATAAATCCTAAGTTTTATTTGTAGATGCATTTAAAAATTTTAATGTCATCTTAGCTGGGTGTGGTTATTCATGCCTGTAGTCTCAGCTACTTGGGAGGCTGAGGCAGGAGGATCACTTGAGGCCAGGAGTTTAAGGCTGTAGTGAACTATGATTGCATGACTGCACCCCAGCCTGGGTGACAGAACAAGAAGAAGAATAAGTAAATAATCATATGCCATCTCGATAAAGCAAGATTTGGGGTATTTAATAGTGCAAGGAAGTCACATTTTATTAGCACTACTTGCACAAATGGAATTATCTGTGTGTCTCGTACAGTCTTTCTTCCCAGTTTCCTAGCAGACCTCAGAACTCAAGTACCAAAATGAATTATGTTGTAATTAGCCAGGTCATGGATACCCTCTTAACTCATCTAGAATATGTGTGCAGCTTTCTTTCCAATGAGGGTACGCACTCCTTTAATAGCTAGAGTAACCTAGAGCCATGTGATCTGTGAAACATAGCTTGAATAGCCACTATTTTTGTTGTATTTTGACAATTGGCAGTATCTATTAATATATTTTTAAGATTTAACGTAAGCATTTTAGCTCCCTGATTTTTTGATAGGCTGTATACATTGGAAAAGTTATTCACCAGTATTATTTCCGTTCAGAAATTTCTTTCATGTTGTGCCTGACACCATGGATGGGGATCTATAATTTGTAGTGATGTAGCTCTAAAAGCATGATCCAGAAGAGTCATTTTGTTGATTCTTCTGTAGTGGGTTCTTCTTTTAAAAAGCATAGACTATTGAAACTTGAGTGCACTGTATTCTTTGACAGGGTTAATTTAAATGCAGCCAGGTTCATTACAGATACTATATCCTTCAACATAGAATAGTGCTGACTTAATGCTCAAGAGTTGGGCAGTATACTTGACTTATTCCAGAGTAGGCATGGTACCAAAACCAACAGTAATAAGCATGGTTTTTAATATACAATAATGTGATCTTTATTCATATAAAATCGTAGAAGGAATATGATGACAACTCCACTGTCATGGAAGAATGGTCTACCAGTTGCAATGACCACAGTAGCTAAGACAAAAAATGCAAAAACTGGTTATATTCTGATAGGCTGTCTTCTTTTTTGACAGAGAAGTTGCTATCATATATCCTCAGCATTTGCATATTCATTTCAGCTGCAGTGGAAAGCATGGATCCAAAACTAAAACTCTGACCCTTAAGGTGGTGTTGGTAGTAAGTAGTACTTAATTTGGCCCCTCCTACTGAGGTCAAGTATAAATGTTCTCTCATGAATTACAATGTGCCTCTAATTTCTGGACTATCGATCTAGCATGTCTTGTCAAGTTTTGTATGTGGTATGTTTTTATCATAAGTAAAGGGCATTGGCAATCTTCATTAATATTTTGCAAAAATTTAGCAAAAAGTCATCTAATACATAAATGTTTTGTAAATGAGAGCTCCTGGAGTTCTAGTCAGGTATTATGTCATATCTATAATATTTCATGTGGAAAAAGCTCCCATCTTCCTAACTGGCTTTATATCTCATGCCTATAGGATCTAAGGGCAAGACATATGATTATTTGAGCCTGGGTTCTGCACAAATCTTAGTCAAGTTATTTTTTAACCTTATGTTTCTACATCTTATCTGTCTTTTGTATGAATTCTACATACCACTGTGGTGCTATGGATGAATAAATAATTTCTATATACACTTCCTTTACAATATGACTTGCAAACTAATTTTCTTCTTACTAGTAAAAAACAAGTTTATTCCAAATATTATAAAGAGTTTTTAAATAGCTTTTTATTGCCCCCCTCACCCTGAGTAATTTTATCAGGTTTACTGTAAGAATATATTATGTACCTGAAAAAAATATATAACATTTCCTAAACACTTTCATTTGAACAACTTTTCTTCATATGTGTGAATAAACAAACCTAATACTCATAAATGACCCTAGGAATGATGGGTTAGCCATCCTTTGTGTCTTTACTGGACTTCCTAAAATGTAGGCCTGACAAATGGGGAAAACATAACAAAATAGACCAATTTGGAAGAATTAGAAGCATATCAACTATCTGTTATTTTTACTGTCATCTCCTTTGTCTGCCTTTCTTATTCCATGAGCCATTAAAGCAAGATGAGTATTTGTGGGTTCAAAGAAGTTTGGAAAGAAAAGGCACCCTATTAATCAGTAAGGCTTTGTTTGTTTGTTGGCTTGATTCTGTTTAATCCTGAATCTGAGGTCTAATCTTAAAGAAAGTCAAACACAGAAATAGTTTTCAGGCTCGGTACAGTGGTTCACACCTGCATTCCCAGCACTTTGAGAGGCCAAGGCAGGAAGATCGCTTGAGCTCAGGAATTTGTGACCAACATGGGCAACGTGTCAGGGCCATGTCCCTGCAAATGTTAAAAAAAAAAAATTAGCCAAGCATAGTGGTGCACACCTGTGATCTCAGCTACTCAGGAGGCTGATGTGGGAGGATCACTTGAGCCCAGCAGGTGGAGACTGCAGTGAGCCGTGATTGCACCACTGCACTCCAGTCTGAGCAACAGAGAAAGACTGTCTCAAAAAAAAAAAAAAAAAAAAAAGAGAGAGTGAGAGTTTTCAGAGGCAACTGGTTGAACCCAGAAAGGGAAAATGGCCATTACTTTGGCTCCAGTGAGAGTCAAACATTTTCTTGCTGAAGATGTTTGGAGAGCAACACCATTTATAACAGCTGTATTATAAAGGAATTATATAACATATAAAAAGATTATCAATAAAAGGACAAACAGACAGTTTTAATACCTACTGAGAGGATAAATTCTCATTGTTTTCTCCATTGTCTATAATCATAAACAATATCAGAGATTATAAATTCAGTCATATAGATAACAAAATATTTTCTACATTCTCGTGTTACTGCATATTCCAAAACAACTTTTTTTTCTCATGATGCCACTGTCAGGGCATGTCTATATAAATATGAGATGATAATTTTGAAAAAAAAGTTTAGAAGTTAATATTGGGTTTGAATAGTGGACAGTGATGATAGGGAACTTCCCTTCCATTGAAACAGAAGAAAAGAGGCTGAGTTTAGTATAAGCCAATGGCAAACGGAGAATAATACAATTGCAGTTTGTTAAGCTAGCATTAAAATGTGATTGTGTGAATTTTTTAGTAGGTAGCTAGGCAGACGTGAGCAGGGTAAGAGAAAACCCCCCTGTCACCTGTAACCATCAGGTGACAGTCATGTGGTTGTTAAGCTGTCTCGCTAAAATGATAATTGGTTGCAGCTGGCACCAGGGAAAGGCAGGCTCCTAACAGATAGGAAACACCTAAAGCTGGTGATCAGCAGCTTCCCAATAAGATCTCTAGGAGTTGGGTGAGCAAGCTTAAGCATGTAAACTAAGGGGCAAAATGTCAGAGTTTAACTGATATATGACCTTCCTGTAGGTACACTCAACTGGTAAGGGAAAGACATCTCAAATGAGCATGTGCACAACTTCAGTAAACACAGTGTACATGCGGCCCCTCCCAATTGCTGGCAGGCAACTGGGCCTGTGGACAGTCCACTCCAAGGAAAAAATCAAGAGAGGATAAACTACAATCCCTGAACCATGCCAATGTATAAAACCCCAAGTCAAGGGCCGTACAGTGCACTTGGATCTGTAACTACCCAATGGGTTCACCTTGCCTGCTGCCTAGACAGAGCCAATTTATCAAGATGGGGGAATTGCGATGGAGAAACGCTAATTCACACAGAGCCAGCTGTGAGGGAGACTAGAGTTTTTATTATTACTCAAATCAATCTCCTCAGGCATTCATAGATCAGAGATTTTATAGCTAATTTGGTGGGTTGGGGGGCAGCCAGTGAGTCAAGAGTGCTGATTAGTTGGGTTGGAGTTGAAATCATAGGGAGTTGAAACTGTCTTCTTGTGCTGAGTCAGTTCCTGGATGGGGGCCACAAGATCAGATAAGCCAGTTTATTAATCTGGGTGGTGCCAGCTGATCCACCAAGTGCAGGGTCTGCAAAATATCTCAAGCACTGATCTCAGGAGCAGTTTAGGGAGGGTCAGAATCTTGTAGTCTCCAGCTGCATGACTCCTGAACCATAATTTCTAATCTTGTGACTAATTTGTTAGTCCTACAAGGGAAGTCTAGTCCCCAGGCAAGAAGGAGGTTTCTTTTGGGAAAGGGCTGTTATCATCTTTGTTTAAACTATAGAATATAAACTAAGTTCCTCCCAAAGTTAGTTCAGCCTCTGCCCAGGAATGAACAGGGACAGCTGGGAGGTTAGAAACAAGATGGAGTTGATTAGGTCAGATCTCTTTCACTGTCTTCGTTATAATTTTGCACTGGTGGTTTCAGATCTCTCAAGTCATCCACTTGGCCCTCTTCCAAGTGTACTTTGCTTCCTTTTGTTTCTGCTCTAAAGCTTTTTTTTTTTTTTTTTTTTTTCTGAGACAGAGTCTTGCTCTGTTGCCCAGGCTGAAGTGCAGTGGTGTGATCTTAGCTCACTGCAACCTCCACCTCCCAGATTCAAATGATCCTCCCGCCTCAGCCTCCCAGGTATAAAGCTTTTTAATAAACTTTCACTCCTATTCTAAAACTTGCCTCAGTCTCTCACTTTGCCATTTGCTCCTCAGCTGAATTATTTCCTCCAAGGGGGCAAGAACTGCATTGCTGCAGACCCATAAAGATTCATCACTGCTAACATCTTCAGGAGTGCTGTTAGTGTGTGGGAGATAGCTATAGTCAGAGAGGTGGGTAAGGCCAAAGTAAAGGAAGTCTCAATCACAATAGCAGCTGCAGGAAAGGCGACAAACCAGCCACTTGAGTCAGGGGAGAACTGACTTATATTAAGCAATGGGTCACTGTCTTGAACATATGTTCATACCTAAAACAGTTTCTTTGTGAAAAATGTATTGGCTCAATGATTATCAAGGAGACTTAATGCTGGAGTTCTCTACAAGGTTTCTTTTAAAGAGTAAAAAGCGTCTTCGGCTTCCTGTGACAAAGGTCATGACTCTGGAATAGTACTTTAAATTGGATGCACTTAGAATCATCATATTAGAATCATATTTAGTATACTATATCAGTAATAGCTGGCCATATGCAAGAGAGTGGACATTTGTGAAATTTGGGTGGATCTTAGGACCTTGGGATTGCTTTTTCTCTTAGGAGAAAATCTCACTTCTGAATAGGTATGAAATGTTCTAAGTGATGAATCTGAGACAGACAAAACCATATGTATTTTAGAGTTTTGTAGCACAGGCCAGGCATGGTGGCTCATGTCTGTAATCCCAGCACTTTGGGAGGCCGAGACGGGTGGATCACCTGAGATCCGGAGTTTGAGACCAGCCTGGCAGCATGGCAAAACCTCATCTCTAATAAAAATACAAAAATTAGCCGGGCGTGGTGGTGCATGTCTGTAATTCCAGTTACTTGGAGGCCGAGGCATGAGAATCGCTTGAACCTGGGAGGTGGAATTTGCAGTAAGCCAAGATCGCGCTACTGCACTACAGCCTGGGTGACAGAGTGAGACTCAGTCTCAAAAAAAAGAAAAAAGTTTTGTAGCACAGAAGGTCTATACAACAAGGTTTAGGTATCTTATCTTCCAGTGAAGGAGTGGCTAGCAAGAGGCCATCAACATCTTGGATAAGGACAGATTTCCAGTGATAAAATATCTAAATCCTTTTTCCAACGTGGGAGAAGAAAGAATGGCTTTCATTATAGCCTCAAGGAATTTGCCTTAATGTAAACTGGAGGTCTACATGGCTCTTGGGTTTTACTGGGAAAGAAAATAAAGTAGATCAAAGAGCAGTTCGATAAAATATTTAGCAATATCAGGGATGCAGGATAGGAAAGGGATGGGGTTATGAATGACAAAAAGAAGGTAACTCTGTAGCATGTACTGTTCAAAGAGCTTATGAAAGTTTTAGAATAAAAATGAAGTCACTTGTGTTAAAAACCATGAGAAATGGAGCCCAGGAAGGGCATGAAGGGAGGGTTCTCATGCAGGAATGCCTGATAATAAGAATGATCACAAAGGACTATGCAAAAATCACAACCTTGCACAAAGGCCACCACAACCTTAAAGAAAAGCAAGTGCCTTTCCAACCCCAAACTGGTGCCACTCTTGTTATTGATCCTTGTAGCTAAGAATAATTATTTCAAAACAATTATGTAATGCACCTCATTTCTTCTTTAAAAACATCTGTCCTTGGGAGGCCAAGGCGGGCAGATCACCTGAGGTCGGGAGTTCAAGACCAGCCTGACCAACATGGAGAAACCCCATCTCTACCAAAAATACAAAAAATTAGCTGGATGTGGTGGCGCATGCTTGTAATTCCAGCTACTTGGGAGGCTGAGGCAGGAGAATTGCTTGAACCTGGGAGGTAGAGGTTGTGGTGAGCCGAGATTATGCCATTGCACTCCAGCCTTGGCAACAAGAGTGAAACTCCATCTCAAAAAACAAACAAACAAAAAATCTGTCTTATTTTACTTTACTGAATATGCACATAGTTAACTATGCCACTTGTATTCCCATTGCAATGCCTATTCCTGAATAAATATAATTTTCTTTTACAGAGCCGCTCTCTGTCAGTTGTTTAGGTTGACAATCTTTAAAATTTTGATATATCTGCTAGGTTTCTTGCATTGCCAAGTGGATGGTAATGTGATGGATTATTTCAGAATTTTCTTAAAGTATCCAGGTAATTATGCATTACAGTTGATCCAAAGTAATGATCACTGTTATGTATGGGAGAGGAGCCTGGGCAGGTTTCAGAGAGACATAGCAATTGATTTGGTTCTTCCTTATCTTTTCAGATTTGACTAAAATGTCACCTTTTATGTGAAGCCTTGTCTGACTCCCTTCCCCCCTGGAAAAATGAATTGCTTCCTGATTTGTGTACCACTTCAATGTGTATCTATGTCATATGTGTATTTCATGCTGTAGTCTTAATTTCTTTGCTCTCTGTTTCTTGAAGACATGAGCCTGTCTTATGAAAATAGTTGTTTCTCTAGGGACTAGCCCATTCCATGCTGCACATTAGGTCTTGCGTGACTGCTTATAGAATACATTTGTAAATGGAGGCATAAACATATTAAGACAGGCTACACAAAACTTTTCTTCATGAAGTCCAAATAAATTGCGTAATTATACTATGTATTTCGGTGTAATAATATCCATTATTATTGTTTAAAGAATGTAGTAAGAAAATACAACGGTACTTCTGCTGCAGAACTTCTTATATTTAGCAGTGGTTTCACTAACCAAATACATTATCTACCAAATGCTACAATGTCTAAACTACTCAAAGATTTGCAGATCATTTTAATTATTTAAAAGAAAAGTAAATTGAACATAATTTAGTAATTAGTTAACAGCTCTAAATTTCTCTTTTATGACATGGAAAGTGAGTTGGTCATAGTTTATTCTACTGATATTCATTTTCAATCCTTCACCTATAAACTATGGTTCTCAGGTTTCATTGCCAGCTGGCTTCCAGGTAGATTAGCTCATGAGAGGTAGGGGGTAGGGTGGTAGTAGAGGAAGAATGGAAAAAGCCAGGGTATTTCTCCTCTGCAAGTTCATCCTCAGTAGCATTTTACAGTAGTGGATGGTTTTCCTCTGTGGTTTTAGTTCCCCACTAGACAGCCTTTGCTCAGTTCTAGTCCTTACCAGGCAATTCTGGTAATAAGACTTACCTTTGCCACCCCAGCCTTAGACGTGGTAGTGGCTTTATACAATTGCTCATCTTTTGGTTGCTTCACTATCCCCTGTTGGCTTCTCAGCTCTTTCTTTGCGTATTACTTATGTATTAAAATTTTCTCAATTTAACTACCTAGAATAGTTTCTGCCTGGCCCCTGACTGATATAAAAATTATAGTAATTGACTATGTTTCTAATAAATTTAAGTTTTATAATTATTTTTCCCAGTTCAATATATGGAACCTAAATAATCTAGCCATTAATGAATGATACAATATGGCAAAATATTCAGAAATAATGATGAATCCATGGTTCTTGAGCAGAAGAAGGGAAACCCTCTTTAAATTCACATAATTCCTGCTAGCAGAGGTACCAGAAATTTCTTCCATCAGGTCCAGATTATTTCCATGTAAGTGTTCCAGTGGCACCTAAGTGCCATTGGGAAGTCAGCTACTACAAAGGCTTTGAAGATAGAAGTCACTGGTAGTTTGTCTTGTTGTCACTATCAATTTGTATAAGAGCTTTTAAATATTATTGCATGGAAATATACGTGGGAGTGAAGAGTGACAATGGAGAGGGAGCGATGAACAAGGACCAACTGACACAGCTAAAGAGACAAGGTGGCATTAAGAAATCATGCTGGGGCCAGGCGCAGTGGCTCACGCCTGTAATCCCAGCACTTTGGGAGGCCGAGGCAGGTGGATCATGAGGTTAGGAGTTCAAGACCAGTCTGGCCAACATAGTGAAACCCTGTCTCTACTAAAAATACAAAAATTAGCCGGGCATGGTGGTGCATGCCTGTAGTCCCAGCTACTCGGGAGGCTGAGGCAGGAGAATACCTTGAACCCGGGAGGTGGAGGTTGTGGTGAGCCGAGATATGCCACTGCACTCCAGCCTGGGCAACACAGTGAAACTCCATCTCAAAAAAAAAAAAAAAAAAAATCATTCTGGTCATTGTGAGAAGAAACTTGACTTTTATTCTTGGTTCAATCACTTATTGAACTATGATCTGGAGCAGGCCACTTAACTTTTCAGGCTCTTTTCTCCCATAGAGAGAGTGGAAATCTATATACCTCTGCCACTTTGCTTTGAGAATAAAATGTGGTAATGTATATGAGAGCCTTGTATAAAGGATTATTTTTGGATTTTTTTTAAGGGAAGAAGTCATCTTGAAGCCCTGAAAGTGCTGACTGATAGATATACTTGATAAGAACAAAAATATTGATCAAAGCACAGTATATATAGCAGGTGCAGCATAGCAGAAATTATGAATGGGTTTTGAATCAATTACGTTAGAAAAAGTAGTACTGGAATGACAAAAAGGCAAGGAAACAATAGTCTCTAGCTTTTGAAAACATACAAGAGGAGAAAACTAATTTATCTCACATTTTCCTACTTAAACCTTACAATGTGCTCCATTGTCAGTTATCGGACCATTCTTGTTTAAAACCTTACTGACATATTTTATTCCAATGTCCCTTGGAGCATTGGTTATGATCAAATGCCGTCATCTATATTGTGAAGTAGGTAGTAGAGTGATTAAGTCAGAGCAAATAAAACCACTTGAGAAATTAGTCACAGAATTTTAGAGAGAATCTAGGATGCCAAACTCCTACATAAATTGCTTTTGGTTTCCTGGTATACAACTGGTTGCCAACATTTATAAATGTTGTTCCTTTATAATCTCCATTCTACATGGTCTTGTCACTTTGATAGTTGACTTAATTATTTTGCGTGTGTGTGCCAAAATTTAGTTGCTTAAAAAGTGCTTTTTTCTCAAACTCGGGGAGTTAATAAACCTTTTAAATGACCATCTACAGAGAATATTGTTTTCTTTTCTAGAGTTTCTTTCAAAAAGAAATTTTGTTTAACAATCATGTCTAATGTAATTTTATTGTTGGGTTGAACCACATGATAGTTTGGATCTTTTCTAGCTCTAAAATTCTGTGAATATTAGTTTAGCATAGATAAATGTTGCTTTTGCTGGAGTGGGCTGTTGGGAGTGAAAATGGAGAGGGATGAAATAGTGGCATAGTGCTTTAATATTAAGTTGGAATTTACTAAGTGAAAATAATGTCCTTAAACCCTACAGCAAAATGATTATGAAAATTTTTACACTGAAAAATTGATGGATATTTTTCTCTCAGTTTCAGTGATAATTCTTTGTAATAAATAATTTTCTATCTTTCTCAAGCCACGGTAATAACAGTTACACAGTATGACTCTGTTTACACTAACTTCCCTAGTTCTAGCCTAGAATTAATTTGCAAAGTAGAAAGTGCTAATAATGTCTAGGAATATGGGCATACATAATGATCCTTGCTTGCTAATCATGGGGATTAGGTTTTGGGAAATATGATTTAGCATTGTTTAATTACAAGAGATAAGAGGCCGGACGCGGTGGCTCACGCCTGTAATCCCAGCACTTTGGGAGGCTCAGGCGGGCAGATCATGAGGTCAGGAGATCAAGACCATCCTGGCTAACACAGTGAAACCCCGTCTCTACTAAAAATACAAAAAAATTAGCCGGGCGTGGTGGCGGGTTCCTGTAGTCCCAGCTACTCCAGAGGCTGAGGCAGGAGAATGGCATGAACCCGGGAGGCGGAGCTTGAGTGAGCCGAGATTGCGCCACTGCACTCCAGAGCCTGGGCGACAGAGCGAGACTCCGTCTCAAAAAAAAAAAAAAAAAAAAAAAAAGATGAGAATGCAAGAGACATGCGTATATCTATCCAAAGTCTTATTGCAAAGTGTTTTCCTGTGATGGGTCTAGGTCAGATCAGCACATTAGCCATAGTGATCACCAAATTCAGAACTGGCTTTGGAGGAGTAGAACTAGATTTGGAGAATTGGTGTAAAAACGTAGAAATGCTTTGCATTTCAATCGTTCATCAAGACAATTCAGGAATACAGATTTGATGGAGTTTCTCAGGGCCCTTATTTAAGGTAATTCTCCTGAATCAAGGAGTACCCAACACAGCAGTCAAGCTGTATAAGCAAAACAGCTCAATATTACGAACACAGGCTAAATATTCAACTGGATATCCACCCATAGTTATATTGCCAGTTAAACTCAAGTTTATGATTCACTTTCTAATTAATGCAATAAATGTAAAGCATATTTATGTTTTTTCTTTTCCAATTTTCTGCCTTTGTATCTTTCTCTCTCATTGTCATTAACTCCTTGGTTTTCTCTCAGTTTCACTTCCCCAACACAGTACAGATTGAACATGCAAAGCATAGAACACAAAAGAAAGATGACACTTGGGTCATTAGTCTCCTGGCTCACTTTGCTAATCTATCTCAACTGCCATCACTAATTAGGGTGAAGAGATGACTACTACCATGGCTGTTACTGCTTTTGCTGTATTTAAATGAGTTTGGAGAGCCTTACATAATTTTTTTCACTTGATGAACTTATTACTCAATGTAAAATCTGGGAAGACAAGAGATTAACTTTCTAAAATTTGGGTACTTTTTAATAGATAAAATACGTCTTCCATATAAAAGAATGTATATAATATATAGGCAGAGTTTAAAATGTAATAAACACCTATGTATTCAACACTGAGTTAAAAAATAGACTAATAACAATACTTCGGAAACTGCTTTAATAACTCTCTCAAAATATCTTTTGCCTCTACGTGTGTCTCTATTCTGACTAGTATATTAAAATTACTTATTTATTTATGTACTTAATTGATAAATTATTCAAGTTTTTTGTTTAATAATTATATAAACAGAATGATAATGTGTATACTTTTATGATTTTCCTTTTTTTCCTCAACAGATTTTAGATTTATTCACATTAGGCATACATAGCTATAGTTTATTTAATTTTTGCATGGTTTAGGTTTAGTATACCATTGCATGCCTTTATTGAAATAATTTATTATCCATACGTCACGCATAAACATTTGGATTATTTCAAAGTTCTTTTTTCTATTACAAAATGTGTTAGTTTTCCATTGCTCACATTATCACAAACTTAGAAACTTAAATACCACAAACGGGTTATCTTGCAATTTTGTGAGTTAAGAGTCTGGGCACTGCATGGCTCAGCTGAGTTTATTTGCTTAGGGTCTCACAAGTCCAAAATAATGGCATTGGGCAGGGCTGCGGTCTCCTCTGAGGCTCAAGCTCCTCTTTCAAACCCATTTAAGTCATTTGTAGAATTAATTTCTTTAGAGTTGTAAGACTGAGATCCCCACTTTTCTTGCTGCTTGCCAACTGGGACCTTTCACAGCTTTGGGGACCACTTACTATTTTCTGCCATGGGAACCATTCTACAACATAAATGTTTGCTTATCCAAGTACAGCAGAAAAAATACCTCTAACTTTGAGTCTCTCCTACTTCTTTTAAGGGCTCTCTGATTATATGAGGCCCACCAAGAGTGATATTCCTTCTGATTAACTCAAAGTCAACTAATTACATACCTTAATTGTCTCTGCAAAATTCTTCCTGCAATAAAACATAATAGAATCATAGGAGTGAAATATCATATTCAGCAGTACTCCTCACACTCAAGGTGAGGGCATTATACAGGGTGTGTACACCAGAGGGTGAAAATCATGAGGACCATTTTGAAATCCTATTTACCATACAAACAATTTTGTAAATAAATATTCCTGAATATGCCTCTTGTTTCATTTCTTATAACTGTAAGCATTCCTTGTATGTTTTCCAACTCTATTAAGTTAGGCTAAACAGTTTCCAAAAAGGTTTTATCACATGTAGTTGCAATTAAGATATGAGAATTTATCTTGTATACAGTCTCACCAACAATTTGAATTTATATTTAAATGCAATTTTACAATTTTTTATTTGTCTTACCCATCACTTGTTAAACTTATTTCTAGACACCTTATTGTTATTGATATTGTAATTTTTGAATTACATTTTCTAATAGTTTTATATATTAATATATTCAATGGACTCACAAAATTATCTTATTACTTTTAATAATTTATATGTAAGAGTTGTTTTCAGACTTACTATGTGGACAAATGTGTCATTTTTTTTTTCTATTTTCACCTTATATTTTACATTGTCTTTAAATGTAAAACCCAGCCCCCACCATACTGCATCCTGCCATAGGGTTCAAAAGCTGTTGCATCTCTGCATCTCCAGGGCCCCGTTGACATCCCCTGCCTGCAGCCACCACCATGGTTGGTTGCTGTTGCCAGGGGCAATGCTCGAACCATTGGCATTGACCCCTCTGCCCTTAGCAGCAGACCAGCTACCACAAACTGTACCACCTTGGTGGAGGGCTGCCTCCACCAAGGCCAAAGCATGACCTACCCTCACCAGCAGAAATGCTGCACATTTACAAAGGCCCTAATAACAGGGTATCCCACTTGTAACCTCCACCTGGGGCTGATATCCCAGCCGCTTGTCTATGGCTGCTGCCACTGAAAGCCATGCCACCTTCTCTAGTAGCAGGGGTATATTGTAACTCCTGCTACCCTTACCCAAGCATTCTGCCAGGGATCATCCTGCTTTTGCCTATCACAGCCAGTACCTGCACGCATTACCAGGGGACTTTAGAACAGGTCTTCCCAGACAAGCCCCACACCCCGTCCAGTGCCTGAGCACATTGTACAGGGGTCTGAGGATCACCCAGCACAGTCCACCACCATTGACACCTAAGCACACCTCTCAGGGGCCTGACATTGGGCCCACACAAACTACTGCTGACACCATAGTTGCACCCACCTGAAAACACCAGCTGCAGGCCTGGGGACTGGCACACCCAGCTTATCACAGCCACCAAAATACCAATGCAGACTACTTGGGATCAATAGGGTTGTCCTATCACTCCTCCTGCCATTGCCTACACCATGTCCACTGCCCAGAGGCCCAAGTACCCACCCACCTGCCCAGCCTACCACTGCCGTTATTGGCACACGAAAAGCCTCCCAGAGGCCCAGTAATTGATCTGCCTGGACAGGTTAACATTGGTGCTAGTGTATGCTGCCCTGGGACCAAAAAAATAGGCATGCTCAACCTACCACTGCCACCACTGGGAACTGTAAAATGGGTTACCTGGCATCCCAATCCCCAGCAAAACTCTCACACAGACACTACTAACAGCCACATCCTAAGCCACTGAGGAAATTACAGACACCATTGAGGCTGATTATAGCCAAATAAATCATACAGAGACTACACTATTCCATACACCCAGAATCAAAGCTAAAATGTCCTACAGAACCAACACCATAGATACACCTACAGGAAAATTTCTCCTGTGAAAGCAAATGCAAAAGGTTGGAAGAAGTGACTATTATATCGAATGTCAATTATATTATACCAATGATGTATATCAACAGAAAGACAGAAGAAATATGAAAAATCAAGGAGTATGACACCTTCAAAGAGAGAAAATAATTCTCCAGAAACAGATTCCAATGAAAAGGAAAATTTTCAAGTCCCGGAAAGATAAATCAAAATAATGATATTAAAGAAACTCAGTGAGGGGCCAGGCACAGTGGCTCTTGCCTGTAATCCCAGCACTTTGGGAGGCCAAGGCAGGTGGATCACGAGGTCAGGAGATCGAGACCATCCTGGATAACATAGTAAAACCCCATCTCTACTAAAAATACAAAAAAAAATTAGCCAGGCTTGGTGGCGGGCACCTGTAGTCCCAGCTACTAGGGAGGCTGAGGTAGGAGAATGGCGTGAACCTGGGAGGCGGAGGTTGCAGTGAGCCAAGATCTCTCCACTGCACTCCAGCCTGGGCGACAGAGCAAAACTCTGTCAAAAAAAAGAAAAAAGAAAAAAAAAAGAAGCTCAGTGAAATACAAGAGAACACAAATAAGCAATACAAAGAGATCAGAAAAACAGTCTAGGATATTGCATTAGTCCACTTTCATACTACTATGAGGAAATACCCAAGACTGGGGAATTTATAAAGAAAAAGAGGTTTAATGGACTCACAGTTTCACATGGCTGGGGAGTCCTCACAATCATGGTGGAAAGCAAAGGAAGAGCAAAGGCATGTCTTACATGGCATCAGGCAAGACAGCAAATGCAGGGGAGCTGCCGTTTATAAAACAATCAGATCTCATGAGACTTATTCACTATCACAAGAACAGCACAGATGAAACCCACACCCATGATTCAATTACCTCCCACCTGGCCTATCCCATGACACATGGGGATTATGGGAACTACAATACAAGATGAGATTTGCGTGGGGACACAGCCAAACCACACCAGATATGAATGAGAAATTCACCAGAGATAGTTATAATAAAAAAATTCATATGGAAATTCTGGAAATGAAGAGATCACTGAATGAAATAAAAAATACACTTAAAACCTTCAAAAAGGAACTATATGAAGCAAAAGAAAGAACTTTAGAATTTGAAGAAAGGTCTTTTGAAATAACCCAGTCAGACAAAAGTAGATAAAAAAAGAGAAGGAATAAATCCACATGACTTATGTAACACCGTAAAGCAACCAGGTATTCAAATTATTTTGTGTCCCTGAAGGCAAAAGGAAAAAAAAGGTATAGAAAAACCATTTGAAAAAATAATAGCTGGAACATTCCAAGTTTAGCAACATATTTAGACATCCAGAAATAGGAAGCTAAAATATCTCAAATACACACAATTAAAACATTTTATCTCCACAGCACATCATAGTCAAACTGTCAAAAAAAAGTCAAAGACAAAGAGAAAATTGTAAGGCAGCAAGAAAAAGACACCTAGTCATATATAAAGGGACCTCCCCACCCCCACCCCACAATCAGACTAACAGCAGATTTCTCAGCCAAAAAAAAAAAAAAAAGTAATAAAAAGAGAAAATGGGATTTTATATTTAAAGTCCTGAAAGGGATAATATATTCAAAGTGTAGAAAGAAAAAAAAAAAGCAGCTGACCAAGGATACTATCTGCAGCAAAGTTATTCTTTACTAAAAGGACAAATAGTCCTTCCTATGCAAGCAAAAGATGAGGAAATTCATTACCACTAGACCAGACCTACAAGAAATGCATAAGAGAGTCCTACAGCTGGAAGCAAAAGGACTACATCCATTATCCTGAATAGACATGAATGTATAAAACTCAATGGTAAAGCAAACACAGAGATTAAAAAAAGAAAGAACTTAAATGTTACTACCACAGAAAACCACCAAATCACAATGATAAACAAGAAAAGAGAAAGAAAGGAACCAAGGATATACAAAACAAGCAGAAATCAATTAGTAGAATGACAAGGATAAGCTTTCACATATCAATAACAACCTTTAACGTAAACAGATTAAGCTTTCCACTTAAAAGATATAGACTATCTGAATGGATAAAAAATATGGTCCAGGCCAGGCACAGTGGCTCATGCTTGTAATCCCAGTACTTTGGGAGGCTGAGGCAGGTGGATCGCGAGGTCAGGAGATCGAGACCATCCTGGCTAACATGGTGAGACCCTATCTCTACTAAAAATACAAAAAATTATCCAGGCATGGTGGTACACACCTGTAGTCCCAGCTACTCAGGAGGCAGATGAATCACTTGAATCCAGGATTCAGAGGTTGCAATGAGCCAAGATCGTGCCACTGCACTCCAGCCTGGGTGACAGCCCGAGACTGTCTCAAACAAAACAAAACAAAACAAAACAAAAAAAACCCGATTACATGCTGCCTACAGGAAACTCATCTCACCTGTAAAGATATTTTCTAATGACAATGCTTATTTATTTATTTTGTAACTTTTTGCGGTTAATTTTTGTGAGTACATAGTAAGGGTATATATTTATGTGGTACATGAGATGTTTTGATATAGGCATGCAATATATGATAATCATATCATAAAGAATGGGATATCAATCTCCTCAAACATTTATCCTTTGTGTTACAAACAGTCCGATTATATTATTTTAGTTATTTTAAAATGTACAATTAAATTTTTATTGACTATAGTCACCCTCTTGTGCTATCAAATAGTAGGTCTTATTCATTATTTCTAACTAATTTTTTGTACCCATTAATCTCCCTCCTACCCCTACCCCTCCATCCACTATCCTTCCCAGAATCTGGTAACCATCCCATGCCCTATGTCCATGAGTTCAATTGTTTTCATTTTTAGATGCCACAAATAAGTGAGAACATGAAATGTTTGTCTTTCTGTGCCTGGCTTATTTCACATAACATAGTGAACTTCAGTTCCATCCATGTTGCAAATGACAGGATCTCTTTCTTTTTTATGGCTGATTCATATTCCATTGTGTATATTTACCACATGTTCTTTATCCATTCATCTGTTGATGAACACTTAGCTTGCTTCCAAATTTTGGCTATTGTGAACAATGCTGCAACAAACAGGGGAGTGCAGATATTTCTCCAATATACCAGTTTTTTTTTGACTTGTAGATATATACCCAGCAGTGGAATTACCGGGTCTTATGGCAGCTCCATTTTTAGTTTTTGGAGGAACCACCAAAGTGTTCTCAATAGTGGTTGTACTAATGTACATTTCCACCAACAGTGGACAAGGGTTCCCTTTGCTCCACATCCTCACCAGCATTTGTTATTGGCTTTCTTTTGAAGACAAGCCACTTTAACAGGGGTGATATATTTAATTGTAGTTTTGATTTGCATTTTGCTGATGATCAATGATGTTGAGAACATTTTCATATGCCTGTTTCCCATTTGCATGTTTTTTTAGAGAAATGTCTAATTCTGACATTCTCTGAATGTCTCTCTTTTGCCCATTTTTTTAATTGGATTATTAGATTTTTTCCTGTAGTTGTTTGAGCTCCTTATGTATTCTGGTTATTAATTCCTTGTCAGATGGGTAGTTTGCAAATATTTTTTCCATTCTTTGGGTTGTCTCTTCACTTTGTTGATTACATCCTGTGCTGTGCAGAAGCTTTTTAACTTGATGCAATCCCGTTTGTCCATTTTTGTTTTGGTTGCCTGTGTTTTGGGGGTATTGCTCAAGAAATTATTGTCAAGACCAATGTCCAGGAGAGTTTCCCCAATGTTTTCTTGTAGTAGTTTCATAGTTTGAGGTCTTTGATTTAAGTCTTTAATCCATTTTTATTTGATTTTTGTACATAGTGAGAGATAGGAGTTTCGTTTCCTTCTTCTGCATATGGATATCCAGTTTTCCAAGCACCATTTATTGAAGAGACTTTTTCACAGTGTATGTTCTTGACACTTTTGTCGAAAATGAGTTCACTCAATGTACACATTTGAGTAAATGTAGGTGTGTAGATTTGTTCCTGGGTTCTCTATTCTGTCTCACTGGTCTACGTTTCTGTTTTTATGCCAGTACCATAATATTTTGGTTACTATAGCTCTGTAGTATAATTTGAAGTCAGAAATTGTGATTCCTCAAGTTTTGTTATTTTTGCTTAAGATAGCTTTGGGTCTTTTGAGGCTTCATGTAAATTTCAGGATTCTTTATTCTATTTTTGTGAAGAATGTAGTTGGTATTTTGATAGGGATTATATTTAATCTGTAGATTGCTCTGGGCAGTATGAACATTTTAATAATATTTATTCTTCCAATTTGTGAACATGGAATATCTTTCCATTTTTTTGAGTCCTTTTCAATTTCTTTCATCAGTGTTTAGAGTTTTCATTACAGAGACTTTGACTTCTTTGGTTAATTCCAAGATATTGAATTTTATTTGTGGCTATTGTAAATGGGACTACCTTTTTATTTCTTTTTCAGATTGTTTACTGTTGGCATACAGAAATGTTACGAATTTTTTTGTGTTGATTTTGTGTCCTGAAACTTTATTGTATTTGTTTATCAGTTCTAATAGTTTTTTTTTGTGTGTGGAGTCTTTAGTTTTTTATAACATATGGAGTCTTTAGTTTTTTATAAAATATAAGATGATAACATCTGCAAACAAAGATAATTTGATTTCTTCCTATCCAATTTGGATACTCTTGATTTCCTTCTTTTGTCTGATTGCTCTAGCTAAGACTTCTAGTAACATGTTGAATAAAAGTGGTGATATGGTTTGGCTGTGTCCCCACTCAAATCTCATCTTGAATTGTAGTTCCCATAATTTTCATGTGTTGTGAGAGAGACCAGGTGGGAGATAATTGACTCATGGAGGTGGGTCTTTCCTGTGCTATTCTCATGACAGTGAATAAGTCTTATGAGCTCTGATGGTTCTATAAAGGGGAGTTTCCCTGCATAAATTCTCTTTTCTTGTCTGCTGCCATGTGAGATGTGCTGCCTTTCACTTTCTGCCATGATTGTGAGGCCTCCCCAGACACGTGGAACTGTGAGTCCATTAAACTTTTTTCTTTTGTAAATTGCCCAGTCTCGGGTATGTCTTTATCAGCAGCATTGACTAATACAGTAAATCGATACTGGTAGAGTGGGGTGCTGCTTAAAAGATACCCAAAATGTGGAAGCAACTTGGGAACTGTGTAATAGGCAGATGTAGGAACAGTTTGGAGGGCTCAGAAAAAGATAGGAAAATGCAGAAAAGTTTGGAACTCCCTAGAGACTTGTTGAATGGCTTTGACCAAAATACTGATAATGATATGGACAATAAAATTCAAGCTGAGTTAGTCTCAGGAACTTGTTGGGAACTGGAGCAAAGGTGACTCTTGTTATGTTTTAGCAAAGAGACTGGTGGCATTTTGCCCCTGCACTAGAGATTTGTGGAATGTTGAACTTGAGAGAAATGATTTAGGATATCTGGCAGAAGAAATTTCAAAGCAGCAAAGCATTGAAGATATGACTTGGGTGCTGTTAAAGGCATTTTAAAATGGAAACAGAGAATAAAAGTTCAGAACATTTGTAGCCTGACAATGTGATAGAAAAGAAAATCCCATTTTTTTGAGGAGAAATTCAATCCTGCTAATAAATTTGCATAAGTAACAAGGAACCAATGTTAATCCCCAAGACAATGGCGAAAATGTCTCCAGGGCATGTCAGAGACCTTTGCGGCAGCTCCTCCCATCACAGGCCTGGAGACCTAGGAGGAAAAAATTGTTTTGTTGGCTGCGCCCAGGGTTCCTCTGCTATGTGCAGTCTAGGGACTTGGTGCCCTGCTTCCTAGCCACTCCAGCTGTGACTAAAAGGGGCTAAGGTACAGCTCAGGCTATGACTTCAGAGGGTGCAAGCCTCAAGCCTTGGCAGTTTCTATGTGATATTCAGCCTGTGAGTGCAAAGAAGTCAAGAATTGAGGTTTGGGAACCTCCACCTAGATTTCAGAGGATGTATGGAAATGCCTGTGTGTCCAGGGGGAAGTTTGCTGCAGAGGTGGGGCACTCATGGAGAACATCTGCTAGGGCAGTGCAGAAGGGAAATGTGGGGTGGGTGCCCCCACACATAGTCCCACTGAGGCACTGCCTAGTGAAATTGTGAGAAGAGGGCCACCATCCTCCAGACCCCAGAATGATAGATCCACTGACAGCTTGCATCGTGTGCCTGGGAAAGCTGCAGACACTCAACTCCAGCCCATGAAAGCAGCCAGGAAGGCTGTACCCTGCAAAGCCACAGGGACAGAGCTGCCCAAGACCATGGGAACCCACCACTTGCACCAGTGTGATCTGCATGTGAGACATGGAGTCAAAGGAGACCATGTTGTAGCTTTAAGATTTGACTGCCCTCTGAAATCTGGACTTGCATGGGGCTTGTAGCCCCTTTGTTTTGACCAATTTATCCCATTTGGAGTGGCTGTATTTACCCAAGCCTCTACCCCCATTGTATCTAGGAAGTAACTAACTTGCTTTTGATTTTACGAGCTCACTGTCTGAAGGGACTTACCTTGTCTTGGATAAGACTTCGGACTGTGGACTTTTGAATTAATGCAGAAATGAGTTAAAACTCTGGGGGACTGTTGGAAAGGCATGATTGGTTCTAAAATGTGAGGACATGAGATTTTGGAGGGGCCAGGGGCAGAATGATATGGTTTGGCTGTGTCTCTACCTAAATCTCATCTTGAATTGTAGCCCCCCTAATTCCCATGTGTTGTGGGAGGGACCCAGTGGGAGATAATTGAGTCACAGGGGTGGGTCTTTCCCATGCTATTCTCATGATAGTGAATAAGTCTCATAAGATCTGATGGTTTTATAAAGGGGAGTTTCCCTGCACAAGTTCTCTTCTCTTGTCTGCCACCATGTGAGATGTGCATTTCACCTTCCACCATGATTGTGAGGCCTCCCTAGCCATGTGGAACTGTTAGTCCATTAACTCTTTCTTTTGTAAATTGCTCAGTCTCAGGTATGTCTTCATCAGCAGCATGAAAATGGTCTAAAACAAGTGGTAAAAGTGGGCAACCTTGCCATGTTCCCAATCTTAGAAAAAAGGCTTTCAGTTTGTCATCAATCAGTTTGATACTAGCTGTTGGTTTGTCATATATAGTTTTTGTTATGTTGAGGTATGTTCCTTCTGTACCCAGTTTTTTGTGGGTTTTCATCATAAAGAGATGTTGAACTTTATCAAATGCTTTTACATCATCAATAGAAATGATCATATGGTTTTTATCCTTTATTCTGTTGATATAATGTATCACATGGATTGATTTTTGTATGTTGAACCATCCTTGCATCCCAGGAATAAATCCCACTTGGTGATAATAATGATCTTTTTAATGTACTGTTGAATTTGATTTGCTAGCATTTTGCTGAGGATTTTGGCAAAAATATTTATGAGAGATATCGCCCTGTAGTTTTATTTTTTTGATGTGTCTTTGTCTGGTTTTGATATCGGGGTAATATTGGCATTATAGAAGGAGTTTGGAAATATTCCCACCTCCTCTATTTTTTGGAATAGTTTGAGTAGGATTGGTATTCGTCCTTCTTTAAATCATTGGTAGAATTCAGAAGTGAAGTCATCATGTCCCAAGCTTTTCTTTACTGGAGACTTTATTATGGCTTTGGTCTTATTACTTCTTATTGGTCTGTTCAGGTTTTGGATTTCTTTATGGTTTAATCTTGATAGGTTGAACCGTGTGTCTAGGAATTTGTCTATTTCTTCTAGATTTCCCAATTTATTGACATGTAGTTGCTCATAGTAGCCACTAATGATTCTTTAAATTTCTGTGGTATCAGTTGTAATGTGTCTTTTTTCATCTCTGATGTTATTAATTTGGATCTTCTCCCTTTTTATTTTCTTATGCTGGCTAAAGTTTTGCCAATTTTGTTTAACTTTTCAGAAAACTTTTTGTTTCACTGATTTTTTGTTTTGTTTCCTTCCTTTCAATTTTATATATTTTTGCTCTGATCTTTGTTATTTCTTTGCTTTTACTAATTTTGTGTTTGGTTTGCTCTTGCTTTTCTAGTTCTTTAAGATGCATTTTGTGGTTGTTTATTTGAAATTTTTCTCCTTTTCTTTTGTTTTTGTTTTGTTTTGTTTTGTTTTTTATTTGTTTGTTTTTTGAGATGGAGTCTTGCTCTGTCACCCAGGCTGGAGTGCAGTGGTGCGATGTCAGCTCACTGCAAGCTCCACCTCCTGTGTTCATGCCATTCTCTTGCCTCAGCCTCTCGAGTAGCTGGGACTACAGGTGCCCGCCACCATGCCTGGCAAATTTTTTGTATTTTTAGTAGAGATGGGGTTTCACCATGTTAGTCAGGATGGTCTCGATCTCCTGACTTCGTGATCTGCCCTCCTCGGCCTCCCAGAGTGCTGGGATTACAGGCATGAGCCACGACGCCTGGCCTCTCCTTTTCTTATCTAGGCACTTATAGCTATAAAGTTCCCCCTTGGTACTGCTTTTTCTGTATTCCGTAGGTTTTGGTATGCTGTTTCCCTTATCATTTGTTTCAAGAAATTTTTTTCATTTCCTTCTTAATTTCTTCACTGACCCACTGATGATTCAGGACCAGATTGTTTAATTTTCATGTATTTGTATAGTTCCCCAAATTCCTCTTATTAATTTCTAGTTTTATTCTATTGTGCTCAGAGAAGATGCTTGATATTATTTCAAGTGTTTTTTGAATGTTTTAAGACTTGTTTTGTGATCCAATATATGATCTATTCTTGCGAATAATACATGTGCTGAGGAAAAGAATGAGTCTTCTGCAGCTTTGGAATGAAATGTTCTATAAATGAGTGTTAGATCCATTTGGTCTACAGTGCAGATTAAGTCCACTGTTTCTTGTAGGCAACAGATTAATGGATCTTGCTTTTTTTATCCATTCAGCCAGTCTATATTTCTTAGAGAGTTTAGTCCATTTACATTCAATGTTATTATTGATAAGCAAGGACTTACTCCTACCATTTTGTTATTTGTTTTCTGCTTGTTTTGTGGTCTTCTCTTCCTTTTTTCCTTCCTGTCTTATTTTTTTGTGAAGGTAATTTTCTCTGATAATATGCACTTTCCCTCTCCTAGTGCTCTGAAATGCTTTCCATACCATGCCACTGCTGCTAGGAAGTGGGGATGGGGTGCTAGCTATTTCAACACTCTTGTTTTTTTTGTTTTTTTTTTTTTAACTTCTTTGGTTACTCTTTCAGTGATAATGAAGTTTAAACCAGGTACTGTGAGCGCTCACCTGGTTTTTGGTTCTTATGAAGAACCAAACTTTTTTGTAGATAGTTGTTAAATTTTTGTCCTTGTGAGAGGGACAATTGGTGACTTCTATTCTGACATCTTGTTTTGCCTCTCCAAAGACATACTGACTGAAAGCAAAGAGATTACTAAAAAGATAATCCACACAAACAGAAACCAAGAGTGAGCAGAATTAACTCTACTTATATCAGATAAAACAAATTTTAAGTCCAAGAAAATTTAGAAAGACAAAAGGATTATTATATAATGGTAAAGGTATCAATTCAGCAGGAGGATATAACAATTCTAAACATATATACTACCAACACTGTATGACTCAGACATATAAAACAAATATTATTAGATCTTAAGGAGGAGGTAGACTCAAATACCATAATATAATACTTCAAGACTTCAACATGCCACTCTCAGAATTAGACAGATCACCTAGACAGAAAATTAACATAGAAGCGTTGGCCCCAGCATCATGCAGGATACCCAGGTAAAAAACCTGTGCATTTACCCATGTACCCCCGAATCTAAAATGAAAGATGAAATATAACAACAAATAAATAAGAAACTAAAAAATAGACTGCATTTTAGACAAAATCAATCTAACAGACATTTAGATATAATTTCTTCCAACAGCTACAGAATATATGTTCTTCTAATTGGCACATGAAAAATTTTCCTGGATAGACTGTATTTTAGGCCACAAAACAAGTCTTAACAAATTTTTAAAAGTCAAAATTATATCAACTATCTTCTCAGACCACAATGAAATAAAACTAGAGCAAAGGTTCAACAAAGAGAAAAGATAACATCTATAATTCACTAGCTAGACTAACAAAGAAAAACAAAGTCAGAAACAAAAAGAGATATTACAACTGATATCACAGAAATACAAAAGATCATCAGCAACTATTATACACTAATGCACAGGAAAACCTAGAGGAAATGCAATAATTCCTGGACACGTACAACCTACCAAGTTTAAATCAGAAAAACATAGAAAACTTGAATAGACCAATAACTAGCAATGAGACTGAATCAGTAATAAAAAGTCTCTTATCTATGAGAAGTCCAAGAGTGAATGGCTTCACTGTCAAATTCGACCAAGTTTATAAAAAAGAACACTATTCTCAAACTATTCAAAAAAATTGAAGAGGAGGGAATTCTTGAACATTCTTATCAAACGATTCTAAAAAAATTGAAGAGAAGGGAATTATTTTAACTCATTCTGCAAGGCCAGCATTATGCTTATACCAATGCCAAAAAGGAACGCAATGAAATAGAAAACTCAAGGCTAATATCGCTGATAAACATAGATGCGGCTGGGCGCAGTGCCTCACACCTGTAATCTCAGCACTTTGGGAGGCCAAGGTGGGCGGATCACCTGAAGTCAAGAGTTCGAGACCAGCCCGACCAACATGGAGAAACCCCGTCTCTACTAAAAATGCAAAATTAGCCGGGTGTGGTGGTGCATGCCTGTAATCCCAGCTACTCGGGAGGCTGAGGCAGGAGAATCGCCTGAACCTGGGGGGGGCGGAGGTTGTGGTGAGCCAAGATTGCACCATTGCACTGCAGCCTGTGCAACAAGAGTGTAACTCCATCTCAAAAAAAAAAAAAAAAGATGAAAAAATCTTCAACGAAATACTAGCAAACTGAATCCAACGATACATTTTTTTTTTTCCCTGAGGGAGAAGCAACCCCACATTTAGGATTGGATTTTTATTAATATGTAGTATCTATGAGGTTTCCAAGTCCAGAAATCAATTCGCCAGTTCTGTACAGCATTCTGTAGGGAGATCAAATCTGGGATGTCTAAAATTAAGAATTCAGGCCTTGGTAATGGATTAGATTAGATCTACTTGAGCTTATTTTGCAAAGAAAGAGAGGAAGGGAGATAGCGAGAGAGAGAGAGAGAGAGACAGAGACAGAGAGAGACAGACAGAGAGAGACAAAGATACACACAGAGAGAAAGACAGACAGAGAAAGAGAGAGAGAGACAGAGAAAGACAGAGATGGACAGAGAGAGACAGAGAGAAACAGACAAAAAGAGAGAGAGACAGAGAGAGAGAGAAAAACAGACAGAGACAGAGAGACAGACAGAGAGAGAGACAGACAGACAGGCAGAGAAAGAGAGTAAGACAGAAGACAGATACAGAGAGAGAGAGAGAGAGACAGGTAGAGAGAGAGAGAGACAGAGAAAGAAAGAGAGAGACAGAGAAAGAAAGAGACAGACAGAGAAAGAGACAAAGACAGAGATGGACAGAGAAAGACAGAGAAAAACAGAAAGAGAGAGAGAGAGACAGAAACAGACAGACAGGGACAGAGAGAGAGACAGAGACAGAGACAGACAGAGAGACAGAGAAAGAAAGAGACAGAGAAAGAGACGGAGAAAGACAGAGATGGACAGAGAGAGACAGAGAGAAACAGAGAGAGAGACAGAGACAGAGAGAGAGAGAGACAGACAGGGACAGAGAGAGAGAGAGAGAGAAAAAACCAGACAGACAGAGACAGAGAGACAGACAGAGAGAGAGAGAGATACAGACGGGCAGAGAAAGAGTAAGACAGAAGACAGACACAGACACAGAAGCAGAGAGAGACAGAGAGAGAGAAACAGACAGGCAGAGAGAGAGAGAGAGAAAAACAGACAGACAGGAAGAGAGAGAGACAGACAGAGAGAGAGGGACAAACAGACAGAAAGAGAGAGAGACAGACAGGAAGAGAAAGAGACTAAGACAGAAGACAGACACAGAGAGAGAGACAGGCAGAGAGAGAGAGACAGAGGCAGAGAGAGAGAGACAGAGAGACAGAGAGAAAGAAAGAGAGAGACAGAGAGACAGAGAAAGACAGAGACAGAGAAACAGAGAGAAACAGACAGAAAGAGAGACAGAGAGAGGGAGAGAAACATACAGACAGGGTCAGAGAGACAGAGAGAGAGACAGAAGACAGAAAGTCAGGCAGAGGAAGAGAGTAAGACAGAAGACAGACACACAGAGAGAGACAGAGAGAGAGAGAGAGAGAGACAGAGAGAAAGAAAGAGAGAGACAACAATACATTAAAAAGATAATACAGCATGATCAAGTGGAATTTATCCAAAGGATATAAGGATGGTTCAACATATGCAAATCAATAAACATGATACATATGATTAACAGAATGAAGAAAAAATGATCATTTCAATAGATGTGGAGAAATTATTTGATAAAATTTAACATCCCTTCATTATAAACACTCTTCAACAACCTAGGCATAGAAGGAACATACCTCAACATAACAAACACCATATATGGCAAAGTCATGGTTAATATCACATTGAATGCAAAAAGTTGAAACTCAAATAATTCAACAGTAAAAAAATAACCTTATTCTAAAGTGCAAAAAAGAGATGAATAGACATTTTTGAAAAGAAGACATACAAATGGCCAACAAGTATTTGAAAAAATGCTCAACATCACTAATCATTAGGGAAATGAAAATTAAAATCACAATGAGATATTATCTTACCCCAGTTAGAATGGTGTCTTTGTCCATTTTGCATTGCTATAAAGGAATACCTAAGGCTGGGTAATTTATAAGGAAAAGAGGTTTATTTGGTTCAAAGTTCTGCAGGGTGTAGAAGAATCATGGCACTGGCATCTGCTTCTGATACAGACCTCAGAAAGCTTCTAATCATGGCAGAAGGTGAAGGGGGAGCAGGCATGTCAAATGGTGAGAGAGAGAGCAAGATAGCAAGAGGAGAAGTGGCACACTTTTTAAAATAACCAGCTCTTGTGTGAACCAATATAGCAAGAACTATATTAGCATTATACAACTCATTACCTTGGGGTTGATCACCAAGCCATGCATGAGGGATCTGCCCCCATGACCTAAAAACCTCCCACTAAGCACCACTTCCAATACTGGTGATCAAATTTTAACATGAGATTTGGGGGGGACAAATATCCAAACTATATCAGATGGCTATTATAAAGAGACCAAAAATAACAGATTCTGGAGAGTATGCAGAGAAAAGGAATCTCTTACACACTTATATACTGTGAGTATATAAACTAGTATAGCTTATGGAAAACAGCATAGAGATTTCACAAAAACTAAAGAGAGAACTACCATACACTCCTGCAATCCCACTACTGGCATTTACACAAAGGAAATGAGTTTATCAAAGAGATACCTGCACTCTCATGTTTACACTAACAAAGGAAAGATATGGAATCAACCTAAGTATTCGTTAACAAATAAAGAAAGAAATTGTGGTATATATACACAATGGAATACTATTTGTCCATAAAAAAGAATGAAATCATGTTATTTGCAGCAATATGGATGAAAATGGAGGTTATTATGTTGAGTGAAATAAGCCAGACACAGAAAGACAAATACCACACATCCTCACTCATATGTGGAAGCTAAAAAAGTTAATCTAACGGAGACATAGAGTAGAATAATAGATACCAGAGCACTGGTGTGTGCATGGAGTAGGGGAGGACAGAGAGAGGTTGGTTAATGGGTATAAGTATACAGTTAGAAGGAATACGTTCTAATGTTTGATAGCAGAGTAGAGGGACTACAGTTAACAACAATTTATTGCCTATTTCAAAATAGCTTGAAGAGAGGATATAAAATGTTCCCAACACATAGAAATGATAAATACTCAATATGATGGATATCCAAAATACCCTGACTTGATCATTTCACGTTGTATTCATGTAACAAAATATAACTCTACCCCATAATGTGTACAAATATGTATCAATAAATAAAAATAATTTTTAAAAACCTCAATAGGGACTTCTGGGTAAATTGTCAAGATCATTTTTTTTTTTTTTTTTTTTTTTTTGAGATGGAGTTTTGCTCTTGTAGCCCAGGCTGGAGTGCAGTGGTACGATCTCGGCTCACCACAACCTCCGCTTCCCGGGTTCAAGCGATTTTCCTGCCTCAGCCTCCTGAGTAGCTGGGATTACAGGCATGCACCACCACGCCAGGCTAATTTCATATTTTTAGTAGAGACGTGGTTTCTCCATTTTGGTCAGGCTGGTCTCAAACTCCTGACCTCAGGTGATCTACCCACCTCAGCCTCCCAAAGTGCTGGGATTACAGGCATAAGCCACCACACCTAGCCGATAATTTTAAAATACACAAAACAAGCGAAGGACCGTGAGCAACCAAAACACCTCTGAAGAAAAATAAAACATATATAGAGAAATAACCTACCACGTATGAAAATCTATTATCAGGGATAAAGAGTCATTTTATAATAAGAAAGGTAAATTCACGAATAGGAAAGGACAATTCTAAAGGTTCACACACTTAATACTATAGCTTCAAAATACATGACATGAAAATGGACAGAAATGAAATAGACAAGCCTTCAATTCTAGTTAGAGATGTCAATATCTTTCTTTCTTTTTTTCTTTTTTTTTTTTTTTGAGACGGCATCTGGCTGTGTCCCCGGGCTGGAATGCAGTGGTGCGATCTCGGCTCACTGCAAGCTCTGCCTTCCGGGTTCAAGCGATTCTCCTGCCTCAGCCTTCGGAGTAGCTGGGACTCCAGGGGCGCGCCACCACGGCCAGCTAATTTTTGCATTTTTAGTAGAGACGGGAAAATGTATAAATATTAGGTTTCCTTTTTTATTTGTTTTATTTTTATTTATTATTATTATTATTATTATTATTATTATTATTATTATTATTATTATTATTTTGAGACAGAGTCTCTCTCTGTCCCCCAGGCTGGAGTGCAGTGAGTGGCGCAATCTCGGCTCACTGGCAAGCTCCGCCTCCTGGGTTCACGCCATTCTCCTGCCTCAGCCTCCTAAGTAGCTGGGACTACAGGCGCCTGTCATCACGCCCGGCTAATTTTTTGTATTTTTAGTAGAGACGGGGTTTCACTGTGTTAGCCAGAATGGTCTCGATTTCCTGACCTCGTGATCCGCCCGCCTCGGCCTCCCAAAGTACTGGGATTACAGGTCTTGCCTTTTTTTTTATTTTTTTTGAGACAGGGTCTCGCTCTGTCTTCCAGGCTGGAGTGCAGTGAGGCAACCTTGGCTCACTGTTATCACCACCTCCTGGGTTCAAGCAATTCTCATGCCTCAGCTTCCCAAGTAGCTGGGATTACAGGCAGGCGCCACCACGCCCGGCTAATTTTTGTATTTTAGCAGAGACGGGGCTTTGCCATGTTCCCCAGGCTGGTCTCAAACTCCTGGCCTCCAGTGATCGGCCCACCTTGTCCTCCCAAAGTTCTGGGATTACAGGCGTAAACCACCGCACCTGACTGAAATATTAGGAAATTATATAACACACTACCAAATAACTATGGGTCAAATAGGAAATTACAGGAGGAATTAGTGTTTTAAACAAAAAAGTAAAACATTTTTCAAAACAATACTTGTCAAATTTGTAATGTTATTTTTCTTAAATTGGGTGGTAGGTTAACAGGTGTTTATTTTGTTATTATGCTTTATAGTTTCACTGTATTATAATTATACATCAGTTTGTATAAAAATATACAATTAAAAGATAAATGGAAATCTGAAATAAACACATGGAAAATATTCCCTTATGAAAGACTAGATAGGCATAATCCAAAATAGATTTGGGATTGATATGTGATAGATTTCAAGTTTCAAGGAAAAAGTAGCATTAAATCTTAGGCTACAGTATGTGAAGTCACTGGTTGATCGTTGTTTTTTCTTCTGAAAACATGTGATCTCCAATAACACTAAAAAACATACTACAACCTGTCCTTGTTGCATGTTTACGTTCTCTGTGGTCCTTGTCAAAGAATGAAAAATAAACATATGTGTTTCATGCAATTGGTTGTATCATCAGGCATCAAAAAAAAGAAACCATAGCATCTGCAATTCCCCATTTTAATTATATCCCGAAGTAATGGCTGCAGCTGAGCCATTTATTGCTTCTGTAAACGAGAGCCAGTAGAGGGAAGCTGTTTTTCCGTAAGTCATTTCTGAAAGGGGAATATAATGGCGACAGCAGAGGAGAGATGTTCAGAGTGAGGGACTTGGACTGACCTCTGATGTAATAAAAACAACTTAAGACAGGCAATATGTTTAGCATCTAGTAGTGAGGAACGTGGGGGTGGGAACAGAAACGTAACCATGACACAGAAGCAGTAAAGACCCAGATTTCGCTGGAGTCACCAACCAAAGTGCAATGTCAACAAAATATCAGCAACGAATTCAGTTTCTTTATTAATAATATAAATAAATATTTTTATTCTGAAATATTTTCATTTTTCTGAGATTAAAAAAATTATTTGTGTATGTAGAAAATTTTCCTGAGATATGGTTCTTAATACAAACACATATTCAATTATTGTTTACTTATGTGATTTGTTTTGGAATTTAGAGTTAAATGTTTTTATCATTGGTAATTTAAAATTACACTCACACACATACACACTTACACATACATATACATATATTCTTTAAATAGCTACAATTTCCCCAGGCAACTACTTACCATGACAAAATGTTGGTTGCTCAAAATCATTGTGTATTTTCTTAACCCTTGAATATTAAAGTACAAATAATTCTTCCTTTCTTCCCAGTATTGACAAACTTTGTGTGTTTTTTTTTTTTTTTTTTGCAGGAAAAAAAACCATACTTTCAAAAAAGATTGTATCACAGAGATTGTATAGGAGATTTTTATTATTGGCTAGAGAATAGATGTTTAAAACTTTTCATATTGACTAACCCTGAAAAATGAGGTTTTCATAATATTAAATGGGACCAGAAAACCATGTCAGATTTATAAAACTGTTTGTCCTACAAAACTATGTAAGTGGAAGTTTTTTGAAGAGGGTTGGCTTGAAGCACTTCATTATTTTGAAGACTGGATTAATGTTCATAGTTTTCTGTTGCTCCTTTTTATGGGGGTTGTCTCAAATGCAGTATATTATGCAATGGTTTTGTCATGTATCAGTAATGATATTAACAGTCTAATGCTAAACAGGTTCTGAGAAAATGAAGAGGGGAAAAAAATGACTTACTATATTTACCCTGAAACAAGATTCAATCTGCCACTGTATTTAATGCTATATTTTTCATTATCTCACAAGCATATGTTGAAACCACTACAGATAATGAAGTTAGCTGCTGGGCAGAGTTATCATCAATGCTTTCCATCTTTATTTTAATAAGAGGAATGAGCAAATTGTTTGTGACCTTTGTCAAGGGCTTCGTGAAAGACAAGACACCTAACCACAAAATCACTAGCCTGGAGCCCTATTGAATATTCAGATCCATCTTTCCTAGAATAAAATATTGTATAACAAAGCCATTGTTTCTGATAGAGCCATGTCTCAAACAAAAGGTCCAAAAGCTAAAGGTAAAATATACTTTCATTTTTTTTCTTTAAAAATATTGAATGTATAATATTTGTTGGTGGTCATGTTGAATTTATAGGAAAAACACATTTCTTTAAGGTCGATGCATCCTTATAAATAATAATGCCTACCCCTACTTAGGACACCAGATTCTTAGTTAACCTTGACACCTTTATAAAACCAAGCCTCCTGGGTTAAGTGGAATCATCATATTGAATAGCAAAAGCAACATCTCTTGAGAGCTTACCACCATTGTGCTAACCTCTTTACTCAGTTATTTCACATAATCCTTACTCTGGAGGTAAATCCTGTGATCAACTCCATTTTTTAGATTGGTAAACTGGGCAGAAGAAGACAGAGTAACTTACCTAAGATCATCCAGTCTGTGTTGGAATTCAGATGATAAAACTAAGACTTAAGGCATCTGACTCTGGGTGCCCAGTGACTGCTCTATGCTGAAGGGAACTGGTATTGCAAAATTGCTATCTTTTGAAATAATCTTAGTTATTATATAAATGATGTATTTAATATTTCTGTCTATTAAAAACATAAGAGAGTGTGAGAAAACTTTGGATTCTTAGGTGTATACCAGATTACCTTCCGAAATTATAAAAATAGTGGATTGCCTATATTTCCCTGAAGGAAGGCTGCATTTCCCTCCTAGAATTATCATAACGTATCTCTAGCTTGAGAATATTTTAGACATATATTTGGTCCTATTTGTAGACAAATATATGTTAGTTGCCATTCTCTGTATTGCCATTACATAACCAAGAAGGCCTAAGCTAATACAGACAGGTGCTTGTCAAGTTCAATCCCCTCATTCCTGAGTGGAAAATGGTCAATGCTGCTTGACTTGTAACCCTAGGTATAGGACAGTTTAATTCACAATAAAAAGAAAATAAACATTCACAATTGCCCTCTGCCTGTTAATTGTGGGAAGATCACTGAAGATAATACAATTTACACATGTGAACTTTTGGTCTTTTGTGCTCACTCTCCAAATTTTATTTTTGTACTTGCAGTTTTCCCTTAAGAGTAGTATACTTTTCTAAAACTCTCCTACAGTTATTTGTGATGAAAAAACACAATTGATTAGAAAAAGAATCAGCTCTCTATCTTAAAGTCCTGCTGTTATTCACAAGTGATTTTTTTAGTCTTGATTAGGAAGAAATATTTAACAGTGATGGTGCATTAAATTGTCTTTCTTTAGACAAATGCTACACAAAGTGGTTAGCCAACTGGCAACAATATCTAAACAGTTTGTTACCAGTTCATCATGCACAAGGGAGCTTGCCCCAGAATGTAAAACAACACATTGCATCCTTTATTGAGAATGTCTTATAATGAAAAGAAAAAATGTAGCTGAACCAAACAGTGTGCTTTTGATGTAGTTGATTTACATTCCCAGACTGGCACTTTAAGTAAGACTGCTGTAGACCACTTTCAAACAAGACTTCACAATTTCAAACATTCTTCCCTGCTGGATTGTCTTTGCTAAAAGCACTTTTCTATTGCTGTTAAGGCCACTTAGTCTCTATATTTCTCTTAACCTTTATAAGAAAATGAAGAAAACCTCATAAATACTTCTCAATGTCCTCCTTTTCTTAACATTAAATAGTTAATAGTCCTAATATTTCTCAATTAATAAACACATTATCAATCATTGAGGTTTTAGAATGAAGAACTATGAAATAGAAGTCCTAAGACAACTTGATTTCTTCTTATAGTAGTCATATATTGCTCACTCAATCTTCTTGTGACTTTTTTCTTACAAAAAACAAAGAAAATCACTTTTAATTCAAAAAATAGATCACAGTAATTTTATTTTTAAAATTTTCATATCAACTATCATTTTAAAATTTAATAAATACATCCATATTATCACTTCATAGACATTCTACCTTCCCATTATTAAATAGGGATATTTCAAGAGCAATATTATGGACCAATGCCTTGGGTTTTCCCAAAATTAAATGACTAAAGCCCCTGACACTGAATTTCAATCATATAATTTTATGTACGTGCATCTGTTAGTTGAAAAATTGAATATACACTGTCAAAAATTTTTTAACCGAAAGCTGTTTTGTAACATATTTTAAATGAAAAAATGGGATACAGTGTTATTCTCTTAGCTTGTTTCATTCTTGTTTGTTTTTTTTAGCTTCAGCAAAGAATTCCTGTCACAACATTAAAGAAATATGGACAGTCTTCAGGGATGCAATTGAAAATGAACAAATATGAAAATAAAACCATGGTTAACCCTAATAGATATAGTAAGAAAAGCAAATTAGGATTTGGAAATGAGGAAAATATCTAAGCAGTCACTTATATAAGAGTCACAAAATTGGAACAATGCTGTCAGTCTAGCAGTGACATACAAATGACACTTTTGTGAAGATTCACTGTACAGAATTAGTCTTGAATGGCTAGATCTAATTTGAACACGATACCTCTTTTCAACTCTTAAATTTCTTAAATTAATTTTTACTAATCATTATTCAGTTTTTATTTGGCCTAGCCTCTTAGGTGCTACACTTGAGTCTTTCTATCAATGACCCCACTCCTGGGAACACAGTCATAGAAGAACAGGATAAATTGCTGTCCTGATATGAACTGACTCCCAGGGTGGTATGCCTACATGCTTTGCATTGGGCTAATGGGCAAGACTTGAACAGATGTGTTGGAAATTCCCACTTCTGTTTTGTCAGTTAACGTTGATAGACAAATATACTATAATGGCTGCTATACGGAGTTTGCAAAGAGAAACACACCTCTTGAGAATAATAACATTGATATCCTTTGGAGTTGCATAAAAAAATCTGGGAGAAAAAAAGATTTCTTGAAAGTGTTCTCCTATGAGTATGTTTTTCTGTGCTATCATAGACTCGGCAAACTGTCTTTTGCTGTTGGGGTTATAGTCTGGCTATACTGAGGTAGAAACAATCATTAAAGGAGTAGACGTGAAATTCTGAATCAGGAAGACTAATTCTGGAGTAGCCATTTGGGGACTCCAGATAAGCCCTCTGAGACATTAGTGGTTAGCTGTCTGCAAAACAGGGCTCTTAATTTCTACTTTAGGAGATATTTTTGAATAGTAGAAGAAAAAATACTTAGAGATAGTTTAGATGTTAATAGACATTAGGTGATCAATTAATGCTTAAAAATGTTTTTGTCTAGGTGCAGATACATTCACTCTTGTTTTACACATGTAATTTCAACTTTCTGTAACATACTGAAACCACTGCTACATCCTCATATGAGGGTCTCATTCATTCATTTTCATCTGGTATATTCATTGTATATGTGTATGTATACAGAACAGCAGGCACATGCACCCCCACACCCATGTTTGCTTCCAGATTCAAATGGTTTTTGGACTCTCTGAAGCCCATTTAGTTTTTTCTCTATGCCCATGAATCCCAGAATAAGAAACTCTGATTTAGAGTCTCTATCTCATGACATTCGTTTGGATGATTAAATTGATATAGCAGTTACTAACAATGCTATATTCCAAAAGTTCCTGCATTCCTTTGTCTTTTTTGAGTAGGTCCTTGTTGGCTAAAGAATTGGGGGGAAATTTTCTAAAATTTGATTTTCCTTTGTAAAAACTAATTGGCTATATTCCAAAGGAGCAAAGCCAGATTGTCTTTGGCAATTGAAACTAAAACCCTGCACTTGTGATCAGAGACCCAAGTGCTATGATTTATTAATATTATTTTGATATCAAGTACTTGAAAAATAGTTTGTATGAACAATTGGGGAGTCTAGCAAAATAGTTTTGACATTTCGCTAACATTAGTGCTTCAACACTGAACCATCTGCTAGAGAGTTCCGAGTCTGAATGAAAGGTGCAAACCTGGATTAGCATCGATATGGTTTTCTTTCAAGTTTGGCTTATTCTCATCTCACTGGATGTTTTCCAGGTCCCTTTTGAAGCCAAGATTGCCATTGTAGAGTGCAATGCCATATGTTAAGATTCATGTGACATATTACCTAAAAGTCATGAATTATTATACCGTGTCTCTTTACAAAGCTGTGATTAGAAATGTTTATGTAAGTGCACCTCCAAAGAAAAATGGTACCCAGTGTTGGGCAACAGTTTGCCTGGTAGCATCAATGAGATTCCCTGACACAGAGAGTATCTCAAAAACAGTTTAATCCTGGGATAATGAAAAATCAATGCCTTTTCCCTAAGTGTACTGATCTTAGAGAGGAAATAACAGATTAAAAGAATCATTAGGAATAAATCAGTAACTTCCTCTGCAACACAAAAAATCATCAAGAAAAATGCAATGACTCAAAAGCTAATCAAAACACCTTATGTCTAAGGACAAGTCAAAAATTGCAAAATAACACATCATGTTACTAAAGAAAACGTAAATGTCAATGTTTTGTTCTGCTGAATATTTCAAAATATATATGCATATACAAATAAATACATATACATACATATATGTATACATATATATGTACATACACACATTTATACACACACACAAACATACACATAGTGTTTGCTGGTAGTTAATCAGAGGTACTGCAGGTTATAAATGGAGCTTGACATTTTTCTCTAATATCATTCAAGAAATGAATAAATGGAGCTCATCTTGGTATTTTAAAATGCTAAACAACGCTTTGGCTTTTAAAAGGATTTGGAATGGCTAGCTTTGTATTTCTTTATGCATAAGGATTAGGGCAGGAGGAATGTTTCTATATTCCATGTTCTGTAGTCTACATTCTAAATAATGCTCATAGACACTTACTGACAGATATATATTTGTACTGCTTTCGAAGTATCTAGGATAAGATCATTTTTGATTAATGCCTAATGTTAAAAAAATACTAGTCATTATGAGAAACAAAGATATGTCAAAACAGCTTGTTTAATCTTTGGAATATGTAACATTTGTATATATTACTATACATAAATTAGTGATGAAAGATTAATCAAAATTGGTAGTACTATAAATCACCTGGAGGAGACACATACGTTTTGATAATAATGATAAATAACTGATTTTGTCAACAACATTTTCTATATATTTTTTAGTGACCTAATAAATATGATATTCAAAGGTAAGGGATATTTCCACATATAACCAGTTCAAATTATAAAGATTTCTAAATCCTTAGGAAATTGTATGGAAGTAGGACGTTTTTATACATACATACATATAAACATGTACACTTCATGTAGTTACAAAATGAATACACTCAAACTTGCCGGCCCATATTTTCTTAGCTTCGACAGAACTTAGTGGGCATTTAGTCAAGGCTCTGTGTCGCTGTGGGATCAGCCACACGTGATTATGTATGGGATCAGCATGATCGGCTGTCACTGGTTTCACTGACATCTGTCCCCACAGTGAGACAAGCTGCAACATGAATTATTGAAGACATACACATGCAGATCTTTGTCATGATTATGCCAAATAATACATTTTGCCACACTCTTGAGAGCTGAAAGAAGTCATGGACCATGTTGTCTTTAACCCTTTTTGGCAATCTGCTACTTTGTTACAGATTTAAAAAAGAAACACAACACTATGACACTTTGTGATAGGCTTTTGTTTCTAACATAAATGAAAAACAAATTCTCCCTCCCCTCCCTTGAAGAGTTTTTATTTGCTCTTTTTTACAGATATTCGCCAAATGATTTGAATACACTTAGTTTGATAAATTTTTTCTATAGTTAAATGGTAAACAGAATTAGTCTCCTCATTTATAGACGATTTCAATTTGGCAGATTAGTTGATGCTACCTCACTAAGGAACCATCTTTAATTAGAGGAGCTTGAAGTAGTTTACAAAAAGACAATACATTTTAGCATTAGTAATATCTCTCTTTTTTTTTTTTTTTTTTTGAGATGGAGTCTCGCACTGTCGCCCAGGCTGGGGTGCAGTGGCGCAATCTCGGCTCACTGCAAGCTCTGCCTCCCAGGTTCACGCCATTCTCCCACCTCAGCCTCCCCGAGTAGCTGGGACTACAGGCACCCGCCACCAGGCCCGGCTAATTTTTTGTATTTTTAGTAGAGATGGGGTTTCACCATTCACAGGATGGTCTCGATCTCCTGACCCTGTGATCTGCCCACTTTGGCCTCCCAAAGTAGTATCTTTAAAGTTGTTGGGAAATTTAAACAACTTGGTTGATATTCTTGTTAATCAGGAAATATACTCCAGGGTAACAACTTGAGGGTCCGTCTTTTGAAAATTTTGTTCTGCTCTGAAGCAGCGCTTTTATAATATAATCTGCCCTCTAAACACCACAAAAGTATATCCAACACTCAATTCTATCTATTATGTATATTTTTATATTTATGTTTATGTATTAAGGGTTGGGCAATATATATATTTATAATTCTAGGACAAAGTATGTTGCTATATTACTAACCATGTTACCATATAATTGAATGATTCAAATATATTTGGCCTTGAATAAGTTACTTAACCTCTCTGTGCCTCAGAGACAGAACATTGCTCAGATATAAAATGTCATAATAGGTACATACTTGCCTGTCATGCAGGGTTGTTGTATAGGTAGAATAAACCTATGAAATGTAAAATGTATAACAAATTCAGAACACTAGTATTAAACATCCATAATAGCTGTTTCATAAGCTAATAATATGGCTGTTATAATGGCTTATTTCCCCAAAGATATTTGCATTTAACAAAAATGTTTACATTTCCCCTTGGAAAATATGGCTAAGAAATTTTCCGATAATTATTGCTACCTTCTCTTATTTTCTACCCTGTTCCTATTTCTGTTTCCAAGGTCAAACACTCAGGTGCTTGAATGATGGCTGTGACTCCTTAGAAATCATTTTTTGGTAAGGCATCTAGAAGAATGGAGTTAAATATTGCTGGGAGACCATTTTTCTTGGTTCCTTCCTGTTTCTGCACATCTTATGAGCAGGGGGGCTGACTTTCCTTTTGCTGTACTAGCTTTTAAAAATATGTTTCTATAGTCAACATCTTCTCTCAGAGCAAAGCTTACTCTCCAGTATAAAAGATTTTAGTTCTCTAAGCTCAGGGCTTATCTGTGCAATGCAACCCACTGCATGTGCAGCTATCATTTACCCCTTTGTGCATGTCCGTGTGGAAACTGGAGTTTAGCACAAATACAGACTCTCTGACTCCTCCTATTATGTAAGTATTAAATGGTCCCTGGTCTTTGAACCAGGAGTCTTAAGTCTTTGGCCAATATCCATGAAACCTCAGTGGTCTAACTTGTTAGACTGAAAGTGCAGTAAAATTTCAGATCCTTCACAGTTCTTGGCAGATGTTTCTCCTCCAAACTCCGCACCCCCCACTGTGTCCCTAATCCAGTATATTCAAACCTTACATGAAGAGAGATTTTTATGGGGTAGGGTGACTTTAAAATAGAGGAGTTAGAAGGCAAGAAAATGAATTGAGAGGAGTCTAAGTTCACTTCCATGCCCGCTGATGCCAGGCTATCAATAAAGGAAAGCTTAAATGTAGTGCAGATCTGATGGTAGTAATAGCAGTTTCTCATGTACAGATGTGGTGAATAAGTACCTGATTCTGCACCTTTATCCTGGCCTCACTCACCACACAGCAATGCCTCCTGACCACAGGAAACTAGTTCCTACTCATTATATTAGAATAATAGTCTTTGGCAACAATATAATAATTGTTACATTAATAATATGATTATTACATTAACAATGTAATAATGCTGACTGTAGCAAACAGATTTGACAGTTGTCTATATATATGGAGTAATGTTCCTTTTGTTCTCCTTTATTCCCTAGGTTTGTGTGAGACTAAAATAAACATTGGAGAAGGTAAGTTTCCTTTCAAGCTCAGAGAGTTGAAAGCACACAGTTAACTAAATGGAAGAAAAAAAAAAAAAAAAGCTTGGTGTCCTGTCTTAGTATTTGACTAGATTGTGTAAATTGCTATGACTGCAGGAGTATAAAGTTGTTCTGTGCCAGCATAAGAGAAGATGAGGATCAGCCTTACTCCAGATGTCTTACAATCCAGGATATGCATATATTACTATAAAATTATGATAAAATTTGGTTTTAGAGCCTAACATATATGCCACACTTTAAATACTATTTGCACACAGTTTCAATATATTTTGCCCTGAATACTGAGACAACCTGAGGTAACTTTGGATTTTTGAGGGCAGGGTAGAAAAAATTAAGAGAGAAAAATCTTTATAAAGGATTAATAGTCTAATTTCAAAGATATCGTTGGAGAGAAAATCAGTTTTCAAAAAATCTAGGATTTCTCTGCTCTAAGTATAAAAATAATATATGGAAAAACCTGCATTGTTTGCAGCCGATATTCTTGTCCCCTACCAATGTTAACTTATTTATGAGTATGCAAATTGTATGCAAAACTAGGAGACTCCCTGGGGGTATAGCATTCTACTGTCAGCAAGATATTCTAAAAACAGATGTTTTAATATAGTCTTTAGGATTTGATGAGGGAAATTATGAAGTGCTATGTGAAGTCAGTTTTTTGTAATTTAAAATTTTTCAAAAGCAGATTGATGCAGTCTTACTTAGAATAGGTATATAAGCTTTCTCTTGCTAGTAGTCAGACTAATAAAAAATGATTTAGTATGGCAAAAATAATAATAAAGATGTGCCATCTTAAGGACTTTTTGGAATTCAAGCATTTCCTTTTGCAACTATTTTATGATTATAGTCCAGCCTTTTGGGTGTTCTGTATCAAAAGCTTGCACTAATTTGAGCTTAGTAAGAATATATTATTTAAGTATACTCCAAATAATAGTATAGCTTATATAAGGAAATTTACATTATAGACTCTTTACAATTTTCAGAGATTCAGAGGCATTATACAATTACTGTAAATTTAACTGTGGAATAAGATCACTTTCTCAGCATGGAGCAGAAAAGTCCACTGATTTTATATCTCTTTTCTCAGACTTCATTTAATTATAAAAATAAACAAAAAGCATTTATCATTTAATTGTACAGAAATGTGTGAATTGGTGGCTTGACATATGGCATGTCAGGTGTGAGAGACAGGAGCCACTTCACCTCTTATTCCCATTTCCCATCAACTCAGACTCTTCTCCAGCTAAGTTTTCAAGGCTACAGAAATATTCACAAAGAAAAATAAGGTCAATTGCACCCAAGTTGCTAACTTTATGAGCTTCTCCTATATTAAATATGGTATAAAGGTTTATTCCTATCATTTGTAGCCGTAAGCTCCTATTAAACAATAACGACTCTTCTAAAAAGCTAAACCCCAGTAGGCTTGTGAGCGGGACATTTTTTCCAATGATATGTTCCTGTCAGAAAAAAAATAAAACAAACAAAAAAACCAAACAAGAAAAAAAAACTGGCTTTTTGTGCTCAATACCAATTTGCATGCGGGTTTGCATATATTTGCATATGACATTCCTGAGCCCCTAATTCCAAATATGCAAAATAAAAGAAAATTAATTAAATAGGGTAAATGACTACAGTTGAATTCCAATTCAATGGAAAGGGCATGGCACACACAAAATACATAACAGATTTAAAAAGTAATCATTCTAATTGCATCCCAGATGAAGAGTCAGTAACCCTGAAGCTGAAGATGGCTATGCCTCAACTTTTCTTGGCAGAGGGTTTACTAGGGACTTCTTCGGCATATTCTGCCTGTGTAGCTATCCTACTCCCATCTAATAGAGGTCACATCAGCAGCAGCAGTAGCCTAAATTTTTATATCTGCGCATACACTATACATACATGATCTCACTTGAAAATTACATCGACCCTCCGAGAAAAGCTAGATAAAATTATTTTCCTTAATTTAGAAATGTAGAACTCAGGGGCAAGAAAAGCCAAGTTGTTAAAATATTATTTATAGCAAGCAGCAGAGTTGGAAAAAAAAAAAAGAAAAGTACAAAATGTGGATAGTTTACTCCAAATGTAATGTTGTTTACTCCAAGGCACTTCCCACATATCTTCCATCCTAGTTTTATAAATAGGATTATAGCTGATTGGTTTTTTGTATCTTTTACTCTTATCTTCAAGCTCTTCTGGGGCTCCCTTATGTAGCCTGTTTTCTTTGACACTTTAAAATCTTAATGTTTTAATGTTTTCTCCATTTCACCCTTTTGACTTTAAGAAGAAGCTCTTATAAACTCATTTGCATTGCAGTGTTTATAATTTAATGTACGTCATGCATCACTTAATGACAGGGACACATTCTGTGAAATGCATCATTGGGAAATTGTGTTGTAGTGCAAACATCATAGAGTGCACTTACACAAACCTAGATAGATGGTCTAGCCTACTACACACCTAGACTATATGGTATAGCCTATTGTGCCTAGACTGCAAACCTAGGCATGTTATATACTGAGTATTGGCATGTTACCGTACTGAGTATTGTAGGCAATTGTAACACAATGGTAAGTATTTGTGTATTAAAACATATCTAAACATAGGAAAGGTACTTTAAACATGCAGAATTATAATCTTACAGGAACACCATTTTATATGCAGTTTGCTGTTAACTGAAAAGTTGTTATGTGACACATGACTATACTGGAAAATAATCTTAATTCAATAAGTCTGAAGAGCAACTTCTTTATAAACTTACTGAGAATCTCTTCTATGATAAACCCTTTTCTTAAGTCTGGGTGCAACAGCATAGAAAAAAAAACAGTTAAAAATATTGTCCCTTAAATTCTAAGGTTGGGAGAAGTGGAGGATGGCAGTAAATAAATTGTAAAATAAGTTAACTGATTATACACACTATGGAAAAAAATGAAAGAAGAAAGAGAAATAGGGGGTACTAGATATTGGTTGGGAGGGATTGCTTCAATTTTAAATAAGGTGGTCAAGAGAGGCTTTAGGGAGAAAGTGACATTTGAGCAATGACTTGAGAGGATAAGAAAGTGGGCCCTATAGCCATCTGGGGAAAGAATCTTCCAGGCAGATGGAAAATCAAACATGAAATCTCTATGGCAGGAGTATAACATGTTCAAAGGGCAGCAAGGAGGCCATTGTGGCCTTCGAGAGGACTTGAGCTTTTACTCTGAATGAGATGAAAAGGCCTTGGAGAGTTTAAAGAAAGAAATATCATGATTTGTCTCACCATTTGTGGTAGAATGAAGAACACAACCACAATATTTTGTAGCTCTTCCTAGCAAGAGATGGAATCATATCATTCAGAGTCCATTCTGGAGGTGGAAACCTAGTTACTTGAGATAATTGAATATAAATAAATGTTTATAACTAAGTATAAAAGTGTTAAGTAGGTCATTCAATAAAAAAGAGAACACTAAATTATCAGTGAGGTAGGAAGCAGCTACGTCCCTTAGGGGTGGTCAAAAGAGATTAGAATATTTCAATTTAGCAAGTTAGAGGAAGTGTACCATGAAGCAAAACAAATCAAACCTCTGAGGAAGGAATGTTGGCCAGCTTTTGTCAGAGTCGCTGAGGGATCCTGACCAGATCAGTACCATGTGTTGAGAAAATGATCAACTAGATTAGGTTCCTGCCATGAGAAGGACCTGCTACTGGGTGTGAAGAAGTGATGATGCAGTGATGCACTCACATGAACCACAAGAATATAGGGACCAAATTGGGAGAAGCAAGTCCACTTTCCTTTCTCCAATTTTGCAGTCTCTCTCTGTTATCTCTGACTCCACTGGCAAAGTCAAACATCATCTGCTCAGTCCCACCTCCATCATTACAACAAAGCAGAGTATAGAAGGATGAATTTGGATCTCAGTGAAAATTGCATAATCATCAATGCAAGGCTTCAATCTGGCAAAAGTGATGTTATTTAATTTTCAAGGCTAAGTCTCAAGAGGCATCTTTTCCTTTTGCTCACTTTGGATGCTACCTTGAGATCACCATGTACTGAAGGTAGTCTGGCTATTTGGAGGATGAGAAGCCACATGAAGGGGAATGATGGCATCCCAGAAGCCATCTTGGACCTACCATATTTTCTTGGGAGCTGGAAGCATATGTCCAGCTGTACCGTAGAATTGCTTCAAGTTAGGTGTTCTGTGTGCTTTCTGTTATTCCCTTTGAAGGGGACTGTCTAATGGAGTTCTCTAGTTTCTCTCTAATCATTGTATGATGGATATCTTAATAATTAGTCTCTAGAAAACAGCTCTCTGGACCCACATAAATGCAGCCAAGAAGTTGTGCCTATATCTGAACTAGATGTAGATTGTGAGATAGTGGGGTTTCTGTCTGATTCTGTAATGAGAGGAGAGTTGGAGGGGAAGGATGAGCAATGTTTTGCATGGGTGAGGAATGGAAGTCATCATAATTGGAGGGTGGACTGAGGTAGACTGAAAAACATGGCTGCATTATTTTACAGCTCTTTTCATTAAAATTTTATTACAATGTGTAGAGAACTTAGTTTTCCCAGCCAAGAGCCAAACCAATTACCAGACCTGTGAGGCCACCTTGGATCTTCTAGCCCAGCTTAGCTTCCGGCTGAATGCAAGAGTAAGTCTAGATAAAACTAGCAAAAGAATAGCCCAACTGTATTAGTTCATTTTCATGCTGCTGATAAAGACATACCCGAAACTGGGAACAAAAAGAGGTTTAATTGGACTTACAGTTCCACATGGCTGGGAGGGGCCTCAGAATCATGGTGGGAGGCAAAAGGCACTTGTTCCTTGGTGGCAACAAGGAAAAAATGAGGAGGAAGCAAAAGCGGAAACCCCTGATAAACCCATCAGATCTCATGAGACTTATTCACTATCATGAGAGTAGCATGAGAAAGACTGGCCCCCACGGCTCAATTACATCCCCCCGAGTCCCTCCCACAACACATGAGAATTCTGGGACATACAATTCAAGCTGAGATATGGGTGGGGACATAGCCAAACCATATCACCAGCTAATTCACAAAATCATGAGAAATAATAAATCATTGTTGTTTAAAGTCTCTAAGTTTCGAGGTGGTTTGTCTCACAATGCTAGCCAATCTATATTACTTTAACAGGATCATTCTAGCTATTTGGTTCAAGGAAGTCTATTAGAAGTAAGGGTGAGGAAAATATAAGGAACTAGAGAAGAAGGAAAACGTTATTCTATTCCTCAAGCTCAAATTAGAAATTAAATTTTGAAAAACATAGAATATTTAAGGCAACAAAATGAATCTGTGATGGTAGACATTAAGGCAACAAGAAATAAACAAGGAAAGGTGGTTTTTAAGGCAAGGATCCTTACTAATGTCTCTAAAATCATACAATGCATGAACTATATGTAAAAAACTGAATATAGTTTCTGAATACATATAATAATAATAACTAGAATTTAAATATACTAACTCATCTTTTCCTCACAATAAATCTATAAAAATTATACTATTATCTCTAACTTATAGGTGAAGAATTAGAAGTATAGGAGATTAAGCACCTTACCTCAGTTTGCAAAGCTAGTGAGAATTGGAGCTAGAATTCAAAGTCATACAGATTGAAAGTTCTAGAATCTGTTCTCTGAACTACTAGCTACACCTCAAAGCGAAAGAATTTGGAGTGTTTCAGTTAAGTAGTTGACATTTACTGAATTTAAACTGCATTCAATTCCTAATGTGTATAATATATTTTATCTGAATTCATGATGTATAGTTATAGGTTTGTTTTTGTCCTTAAAATTATTCCATTTTTTTAATGTAAATCTAAGACTCAGTCTAGCTATGATGGTAAGTAGAAAAGAGTGAGGGCAATTTTCCTAGAGCAGAGGATACGTGAGTTAGGTATTAAAGAAATAACAAGAATAAAACATCTTCCAAATTTCTGTGCACGTCAAAATCTTATCTAGTTTTCAAATTACAATATACAGGCTATGTTTTTTTATAAAAGCATTTCTGACTTTTTCCAGCCTGAAGTCATTGCTTTTCCACCAAATTTTTTAAATAACAAATATATCTCTCAGGACATATTTTCTATCTTGTCTGACATTTATTTATAGATATGTTGTATCTTCTTTAAGATGGAATCCAGGCAAGGTTTATTTTTGTATTTCTTTTCCTTCCAATGTGATGAGTAGATAGGTGAGTGGAAGAATGAATGGATGATTAAAAGGATAGATGGATTGATGAATGAATGTCTCATGCCTTTGAAGTAACTCACACTTTTAATCCACATTTTCAATATTGCCAAGGGAATATTTTTTGTAAAAAAAATTGTTTTACTCCAGCCAGGCACGGCAGCTCACGTCTGTAATTCTAGCACTTTGGGAGACTGAGGCTGGTTGATCACTTGAGGTCAGGAGTTCCAGTCCAGTCTGCCCAACATGGTGAAATCCCATCTGTACTAAAAATACAAAAATTAGCCAGACATGGTGTTGGGCTCCTGTAGTCCCAGCTACTCAGGAGGCTGAGGCAGGATAATCATTTGAACCCAGGAGGCAGAGGTTGCCGTGAGCCGAGATCACACTACTGCACTTCAGCCTGGGTGACAGGGCAAGACTGTATCTCCAGAAAAAAAAGAAAAGAAAAGAAGAAAGCTTTACTGATATGCTAAGACAAATTAATGATAAGTTGTTGAATTGTTTCATAGAATTATCCGGGTAAGAAGGATATGCCATGTTGTTTGGCCTGATTGCCTGTCTTTCCACAAAACTACCCAATAGTCATTTTTTAATAATCATTTTGAAATTGTCATTACTCATCCCCCTAGTCTGTTTCTTTTATTAATTCATTTTTGTGCATCTGTTTGAATATCCATATGTAAGGAACTATTTCACTGATGTGCCAGGCCTTTCTTATTTCCAATCAAAGTATTTCTCATCATAATATAAGCTTATTTTTTCTTAATTTTTGAATGCAGAGACTACCTCTGATACTTAAAAAAAGTAAATCAGTTACCCAGGACTGTCACATAATTTGCAAGGATAAGTGGAAAATAAAGATGTGGGCCCCGTGTTGAAGAAATATTGTTAATTTCAAGATGGCGACAGCAGGTCATTAAAGCAATCACGGGGCCCTGTGTGACTGCATGGGTTTCACACTCATGAAGTGGGCCCTGGAGTTACCTTTAGACTTTTCGTCTGTAACCTTGATAATTAGCTATTTTGCCATGGAAGCAGAATTAAATACCTCTTTACTTCACTTTCCAGTGGTGAAACAAAACAAAACAAAACAAAACAAAACAAAACGAAATGAAACAAAACACCTTTGATGATAACCATGAAATGCCACCGAACATGTACTTTAGGGGTGGTTAGGCTGTGTATTTACATGTTCTGCCTATTGAGATATTAGAACATTATTGAAGTATAATGTAATACAGATGAGTGCACATTATAGGTGTACAGCTCTACAAATTTTCACCAGTTAAATACTCACAAATAGCCAGAAACAAATAAGGAAACCAAATTATTTGCATCCAGGATATCCCCTTGTGTCCCCTTTGGTTACTTACATTCTGCCACCCAAATTTAAGTAACATCATGACTTCAACAGCCTAGTTTAATTTTGTATGTTTTTATATAAATGTAATAACATAATACGTACTTTTTTATGTCTGTTTTTTTGCGCCCAAAATTATGTTTGAGAGAGTCATCTCTGTCATTACATTCAGTTGTAGTTCATTCACTCTCATTGCTGTGTAAGATTCCATTGTGTGAACATATGACAATTTTTAATCTATTCTTTTGTCGATGGGCATTTGGATAGCTTCCAATGTTTGGGATATTACAAATAGTGCTGCTATGAAATAATGTTGTTGTGATCATTCTAGTAATGTATTTTTTGTGACTATATGTAGGAATCTATTTCTACTCTGTATGCACCTAGCAGTGGAATTGCTAAGTCATGAGTATGCATATGTTTCATTTTAATGGATACTTTTGAACAGTTTTTAAATTTGCTATACAAATTTACACCCAAATCAGTAGTATATGAGAGTGATTGCTCCATATGCTAGCCAACACTTGATATAAGGCCTTTTTAATTTTAGCCATTCTGATGTTTGTGTAGTGATATTATATTGTGGTTTTAATATTTACATCTCTGATTAATAAAGCTGAACACTTTTGCATCTATTTATTGGACATCTGAATATCTTTTTTGTGAAGCATCTGTGAAAGTCTATTGACCATTTTTCTAATGGGTTGCTTATGTTTTTCTTTTTTATTTACAGGAGATCTTTATATATTCTGGATCTGGGTCCTTTGTTGGGTATATATGTTAAAATATTTTCTTCCTCTCTGTGGGTTGCTTATTCATTCTTTTAATAGTTTTTTTATAATGAACACTGGTTTATATTTTAAAACCTTTTTATTAAATAATTATATGACAAAACCCATAAAGGACAGAAAGACTTTCTATGAAAATATCCATCCAACCTTTGCACAAGTGATACAAAATTGACTATGGTGAAGCCTAAAGTAACATAAATTTAAGTTAAACAGAAAGAATAATACTGATGATGCATCAAAATCAAAGAATTTCCCACTGAAATAGTGGGAACTCCAACTATTTGTATGTGTGTGCCCAGTAAGAGCTTTCTGACATTGCCGACTATTGTGTGGCAACCAGACTTCTTAGCAGAATATTAAATATTTGATAAATTCTAATGGCACACTAATTTTAATTTATGAATATCAAATTTTAATAACACTTATTAGTTCAGTGGATTATTGGTATTTAGTATTTAGACCTTTTTTATACATAAAATACAAGTCTCTAACACAGGTCTGATTAATTTCAAATAATGAATGAAAATTAGTCTTTGGCTTTTGTTTGCAGTCATATTTGCCTGTGGTCAATTATAACTTTCAGATGTTTTTCCCTACAAAGTTGGTGTTAACAAGTCCTTCTTTCAAAATATACATGTATTATTGTTTGTTGTCTTCTAACATAATACAAAATCACCAGTGTTATACACGTCTCCTAGATATTTATATTTTGTCGTCAAAGGGTATGATTTTGTTTGCTAGACATTTTTGTTCATTCATTTATTCATTTTGTTCATGTTTTCATTCACACATTCAATAAACTAGTTGCACAACTGCTAGATACTAGGAAAATGGCCGTGAAGAATTA